>NC_000005.10:98897685-99200716 GCF_000001405.40 Homo sapiens
TTCCAAGTTATCCCTATGAAGAATGTAATTCTTGTAATAAGGAAAGAAAGTCTAGTAGTCCATAGATCTCAACACATCACTAGTAACTCTGGGTAAGTTACAAGGATGCAGAAAGTATTGTGCAAGGTAGTTCTGGATACTTTCCTATATCACTCTCCTTTTTCTCTACCTTCTAAGAAAATATCCACTATCTTTAAAATTGAGCATATCTCTAGTTTCCAAGGGTTTTTTTCTGTTTATTCTCCCAACCCTTCCTGACAATCACCATAACCAACTCATCTTTCTGACATAGTGATGCTCAACAAGATAAAAGACAACACTTAAGAAGATACATTGACGAAAACATCATTTACAATTTTTTTAAGAGAAAGTTTGAAATAAAAAATTATAAAACTAAAACTAAAAAACACACAGCAATTGCAGAAGTTCACTTCCTGTAAGACCTATTAACCAAGAAATATTCTCCCTTAGTCTATCTGAAATCAGGATCCAACTCTTGTATTTAGGCTTGTAAATATTTATAATGTATAAATATATTTTTAATAATTTAAAATGTTAGACAATACTCACTTTGCAATCTTTAAAAGGAGTGGTTTTTGATTGGTTCCTGCTAAAATACTCATCAATGCATGCTTGAAACTTTTTGGAAATGAGAGCTCCATCTTCCCAGCTGCACTCTGAGTATGGAAGGCCCTGCCATTTGCAGTAATAATCAGGATAACCAGCTGCTGACTTTTGATTGGAATGAGCTGTGAGAGAATCAGGCATTTACTTATTTATTTATTTTTTTTTACATTTAATCATCAGATACATAATTCTTAGTAAAGGCTACACAAGTAAAATTTAGCTATCTAGTTTACAATACTGTTTTAGTAAGAGCAAGCTACTGTGTTTGATATGTAAGTGGCAAACTTATGACTTTTTTCAGATTATTTCAAGCATAAAAAGAAAGTTTAACTAGAATCATTTATCACTAACCAATTATACGTTCCACTATTTGATACTGTTTATGTAGATCATCTGTAAGTTCTTGCTGGCAATTATAATATTCCACATCTTCTGGAGAGGCATTTTTCAACCTGAAAAATTATTAATCCAGGAATAGACTTAAAAATCTCCCATAAATAACCTTTCACTCCCCCATCCCCAACACTATTTGTAGCACAAAATCTCCCATTTTGCCACTGTGTGGGCCAAGTTTGAGTAATAAAGAAACTCAAACAGGAATAAAGCATCATTAATTTTTAACTAAAAATTTGTAATTTATAATGTATGAGACACACTCTATGTGACTGTTACCAAGGATAGGTTTAGATAGGTATACCTCTAGGAGTTTTACCTTGAGATGGAATAAAATCATCCCTCACTACCTGCAGGGGATTGGTTGAGGATCCTCTACAGATACCAGAATCTGAGGATGCTCAAGTCCCTTATATGAAATGACATGGTACCTAAAATATAACCCACACACATCCTCCCCCATACTTTAAATCATCTCTAGATGTTCTTATAATACCCAATTTTACATTTACAACGTAAATGCAGTGCAAATAGTTGTTACATGGTATTGTTTTTAATTTGTGTTATTGTTGTTTTTTTTCCCTCCGAATACTTTCAATCCATGGTTGGTTGAAACCAAGGATAGAGAAGCTGTGGACAAAGACAGCCAACTGTATTATAAAGTCTATAGCTATTTTAGGCTATCATTTAATGTTACTATGTATTCTTTATTAACATAAAGGTTTAGTAATCTTTGAACTATTAAAAGAAGTATATGATATACAGCATACTTACCATCTTTTTGTTTCCTGATCTTTTTTCTTATAATTATCCAATTTTTTCATTCCTCTAACATTCTGCTGCTTGAGGGTTTCTTCTGTCTCCCAAGTGTTGTGGATATGGGACCATCCTTTCCATTTAATTAAATACTGAATCTCTCCTGGTTCTTTGTTTTTTTCAAAGCCTGCATTTGGGTCACCATCTGCTTCAACTGCATAGATGGTTGTAGTAGCACCAGTAGCTGAAAACAAAAGCACAAGATCCTTCCATGTAATTAATTCTGTTGTAGGATTATATTTCAACTCAAAATTTCAATAATATGAGTACAAAAATATATACTCTTTTAAATAAAGTATTGGGGGTATAGAAACTTATGGGAAATTCTATTGCTCATAAATAAAACTGAGAATTTCAGAATTATCTAATATAATCCCCTCCTTTTTCGAATTAGAAAAAATAAAAAGACAGAGATCCACCTGAGATCCCACAGCATTATTCTATAATTATCCACAATATATGAAACGTGGTCAGCTGGAGGCCCAGCACGGTGGCTCACGCCTGTAATCCCAGCAATTTGGGAGGCCGAGGCGGGCGGATCACGAGGTCAGGAGATCAAGACCATCCTGGCTAACACGGTGAAACCCCATCTCTGCTAAAAATACAAAAAATCAGCCAGGTGTCCTGGCAGGCACCTGTAGTCCCAGCTACTCGGGAGGCTGAGGCAGGAGAATGGCGTGAACCTGGGAGGCGGAGCTTGCAGTGAGCTGAGACCGTGCCACTGCACTCCAGCCTGGACAACAGAACGAGATTCTGTCACAAAAAAAAAAAAAAAAGAAAAAAGAAATGTGGTCAGGTGGTTATTAAGAAGGTACTCAGGCTAAGCAAAGTAGCTTTTATAAAACATAAGTAAAACAACAACAACAAAAAATCCACCCTCTTAGCTTTCAACACTGTAGAAAAATCTTAAATACTTTACCTTTTTTTTTTTTTTTTGAGATGGAGTTTCGCTCTGTCACCCAGGCTGGAGTGCAGTCGTGCAATCTCAGCTCACTGCAACCTCAGCCTCGTGGGTTCAAGCAATTCCCTTGCCTCGGCTTCCCAAGTAGCTGGGACTACAGGTGCGCACCACCTCACCTAGCTAATCTTTTCTATTTTTAGTAGAGATGGGGTTTTGCCACGTTGGCCAGGCTGGTCTAGAACTCCTGACCTCAGGTCTAGAACTCCTGATCCATCGGCCTCGGCCCCCCAAAGTACTGGGATTACAGGGGCGACCCACTGTGCCCAGCCCTCTACTCCTGTAAATATTATTTAAATAACCAAACAATAAATGGTTTTTTAAAAACTACCTCCTTTTCTCCCAATCCGACAATCCATAAATCTTTCTATGGTTTCAAATTCCTCTTCCTCAGGTTGAGGAACATCCTCTCCACAGACTTCCAGTAGGTCATCAGAATCTGTTTTCATTTCTTCATCCTCCTTATAGCTAACATTAACAGTTGCTTGGCGACGAGAACTTCTTTTATCATTATCATAATCTTCTTCATCATCATCCTCCTCAGATGAATCAATCTGTCTCTTTTTTTGTCCAAGAATCTTCTTTCCATTTTTTGACTTAGATCTAGGAAAGTGCAAAGAGAAAAAAAAACAAGATTTGAGAAACTATATACAAAAAGAACAAATACTTTCCACAATCAATTTTCAGCACCAAACTGAGACCATACCTATTTTGAGGTTTTCTGCTTTTGACTTTGTTTTTTGGCTCATAATCAGATTCTGTTTCATCACAACTGCTTTTCTCTCTCTCTTCTTCAGATTCTGAATCTGAACCAGACTGAGATGGAGATCCTGACCCAGACATTTGCCAATCTTCACTGCAGACAAAATTTATAAAGTATTTTTATTTGTACTTATATGGCAAGTTTTATCCCTAATACAAAGATGATCAAATCAACCAAACTATATTCGCTATCAAAAATACTGTTGCTTTTACTCATGCTAAAAATGAAATATTTATAAAACAAAAACACTCTGGAAAATATTCTTCATAGACTTCTCTCACAACTCTAGTTTTGCTAATCACTTAGTTATACGTCAGTGAACAGCAAATAAATGATATTTTAATTTTCATTATAGATGAAAATCTCATAAAATTATTCTACTTGCCCTCTCAAAAAAGAGATACTAATCCATGCCATTTTAATCCTCGAGAGGTTGTGATTTTGAAAAACACCTGTTTAAACTGATTTTTTAAATAGTGCACGTTCATTAAGAAACATAGAAAAATTAAAAAAAAAAAAAAGAGCAACAGTAGTACCATCTCAAATATTCAATCTGAGTACCTTACCTGTATTATTATTTTTAGTCTATTAAGTCTATTTCATTCCAATCAACATGTAGAGAAAAATAATGGATGTTAATATTTTGCTATCATAAGAAGTTCAAATGAAAGGCACACATTGAATTCTTACAAATACACTATATCCTATTTCAGCTATGCTTCTGCTTCATTGCTCTGTATCTTTTGCACCAATTGTAACTATGATGAAGGCTACATAAACAAGCATATATGATAAAATCTGCTTATGATAAAAACATAGTAGAAGCAAATTTTTTACTTTGAGATCTTTTCAGGGCTTGCACACCGAAAAAAAGTTTCCGTTGTGTATTTTTATAATGGAAAAAAAACTGGATGATCCAATATACATCTATTAATAGGAGGACCAGAGAGATTTGTAGAAAGAGAAAGGAAAAAAAATCCAAAGATAAATGATTGAATTTTCAGAATAAAAGATAGAACAGACTAATAAAAGATACAAATCTTCGCATTAAAAATGCATGAATCTTTTTTTGGGAAAAATAAGTAACAAATCTAATATGCAGAATATCAAAGGCAAATAGGAAAATAAAAGACAAGAAAATGGAATAATGTTTCCAAATCATTAAAATAAACATGGATTGAGAATCTGAAGTATTCTTAATACTTTCTGGGTCCAGATCTTTAGGAAATTACAGTGAGTTTCTAAAATGAGTTCTACGGTATGAAGTAAATTTCACATGCAACTGAATAGTAAGGATAGCTATTAATATAATTATAAGAACCATCCAAAATCAGTCATCCTGTCATCCCTATACTCCTATATTCCCAAGTTATTAAGATTTTCTGATATTACAACTAGGGAGATCATTAAAGTTTAAAAATATATAGGGGGAGTTACAGGAGATAAAGAAATGGCATAATACCCTCAGGTGGTCACAGAAAGATAAATGTTAAAGATTTATCTTTAAATTGTGTAATGGTGTAAATTAACTTCATAAAATGCCATGAACTAAGAATTTAGAAGAGTCTCCTTTTGGCAACAATTTTCATAAAGAAAGAAATATGAAATAATCAGGATTTTTCTAAAATGAAGTAGTCAGTTGAACAAAATGACATACTCTTTATGCTTTTTCCTTTTGACCTCACTTGATGAGTCATCGGAATCTTCACTGCTAGAGGAATCCTGTAGAAAAGAAATAAAGTCAGTATCATCCACTAATGATTAGAATTTAACCATATTAAATTTTTATTTGCTATACTATTTAACATTCACTTTACAAATAACAGCACTTGTGAAGCCTTTTTTCAATGTAGTTTTATTTATGTTAACTAGCTGAAAGTAATAACATTTTTATTGCAAATTAATATAGCCAGTGAAATTAAGTAAATAGCAAAATGTCAGCACTTTGTATGAAACCTTAAAATCTACCCTCACTGGAGACCATTATTGTTGCCTAGTATAGCCAAAACAAGAAATCCTAGGTGCCAACATGCCAAATTTTGAATTTTTTCTTCACCATTACTTTTTGTTATAATTTTTCCTGAATGTTTTTGTGCAAACATACATGTATGCATGCTTGCACACACACACAAACTACATTGTGTATAGTGGCCATCTACTCTTTCAAAAATATTATGTTGAGATTTCTGTTATTATTTCGTACAAATATGATTTAATGATATAATATTCCTTCATTCATACATGTATATGCGTGTAGGTGCATATCACATTTAATTATTTCCCACAGAGTTCACATTTAGTTTATTTCTAATTTTGCTGTAATGAGCAAATGCACACAAATGTCCCACTGCTTATTTTGGATTAATCCCTAAAATTGGAATTACTGGATAATGCAAAATCTGTATTTCAAGATTCTTGATATATACACTTAAAGTATTTCCTACTTATTCTTTCAAAGCACTTATTATTTTTAATAATTTCACAAATACTAGTTAACTGATTCAGCAGCATGTCCACTTTTAAAATAATAGCTCATGATGAAAATGCACCTCTTCTGATCCGCTATTAGATGAGGCTTGATGTTGTTGTTGCTGCTGCTGCTGTTGCTGCTTCTTGAGGATTGCAGATCTCTGAACGGCCAGAATACTAGGACTAGATTTCCAAAACTATAATAGAAATATAAACCAGTGAATGAAGAAGTATTAAGAAAACTGCAAAAAAAGGTTAATTTATTGAAAAACTATACCACCATCTTTACTGCCTCAAAGTAATAAAGACTATATTCCTTACCTATATGTAACACAATTATCATTGCAATATAGTTAAATAAAATGCTGAGCTCTAGTTATGTATAAAAAAAAATGGTGTGTTGAGTTCCACAGACAATATTAATCAATATCCTCTTGATGCTAAGAGTATTATTTGTATTAGTGCTACTCATAGTGTGGTTACCTATTTTATCAGTGTGAGGTGAAGAGGCTGAGTCAGAATATACGTCAACGATGTCACTAGGCACATTGTTTTAGCTCAGATTTGAGCGGGGGGCCGGTAGCAACATTTTTCTCTATGAAGGAATCTGTGTGTCGATTTATATTCTGGCCCTCAAGCATCTTATCTCATCACAGACTGGTACTCTGAGTAACACTGTATACTACCACGAAGTATAGACAAGTTTTTGTATCTCTTGTAGTTTTTTCCAAACAGAATAGCCCCTTACCCTATTCCATCATTATCTTTGAGGAATCTGAGTTCCATTAAATTATTCTGCTAGTAGCAATAAAGTATCTCCTTTGAAGCTCTTGAAAGTAGAGATCATAACACGGTAAGGTTAACAAGTAGACCTCACAATGTCTTAAATTTGTATCTATGACACAATGGATATTTATGAAACTCAATTTCTGCCTAAGAGGCAGAAAACGTTTTATTTGCCTGTGTGTAATTTACACTTTGTGTTTTCTAGTTCGAAAATGCATCTATTCCAAGCCAATTAGTCCACAGGTGTACCACCATGAATGTGAGAATCACTAAAAGTAAATTTTAATTTAAAATGTTGTCTTCTCTAAAAGCTAGATTAAGAATGGTATAAACCAATCCTCTAAATTTTCCCAAAGTAATACAAGCAATCTACCTTTCATTGGGTATTTTATTGATTACCTCAGCTCCATCAACTTTCGGTGGTTTTGCTTGAACTTTGTTTTCTCGGGAAGTGTCTGACTCAGACTCTGACTGACTGCCTGATTCAGATCCGGAGTCAGAGTCACTGCTACCTGACTGGCTACTGCTTCCATCACTACTGCTTCCAGAACTCGAACCAGATCCAGAGCCTGAAGCTGACCCAGAATCATCATCCGACTGGCTATAATTTGAAAATAAACAATTTCAAACAAAATTCATTAGGAATTTAATTTTTCTTAGACGTCAGCAGAAAGCCCCAAATCATTAAATTTTACTTCATACTTAATATTTCAACTATCTTTGGCCAAAAAAAAGAAAAAGGAATTGATTTAATCTATAGTAACAACTGCCATAGTTGATAATTTATTTATACGTGATAGATTATTACATACTTGATAGATTTATGACATATTTTATAGATTTTTATGGCTAAAACATAAGCAATAAGATTGTAATCTTCTTCTAAGACAATATGCAAAATCTACTAAGTACAAAATCCTGGGTTAGAAACTTTGAGAAGTCAAGAAGTTGAAGGCATGGTACCTACCTTTATAAAGCTCTAGCAATAATAAAGTAAGAAATGTGTGAAGAAAAGATTAAATGTGTTAAAAAAAATTCTTACAGTAACAGGCAGAAATTTATTTGTAGTTTCTGCTTGTTTTCAAGTTTCCATCTCTATCACTCCAGGAGAACATAATTTATTATAACCGAGCTATGATAAAATATAATTTATTTTAAAAAATCAGTAACACTGCTTGTCTGAGAAAATCACTTATTAATAAGTTCTTTGTGGATCTGTAGCAATAAATCTGAAATAGCAAATTCTCATATTTCCTAACGTGTATACACACACATAAAAAAGCAATTGACATTTCATAAACTATCCTTTTTTCCATTTCTAATTTTTAGTCCAAGATAGAGCAGAAATAGTCTGGACTAAACAGTTGATTATATAATTATCCCCAAGGTCATTTGTTTATATGTTGAAAACTAGGGCATTAAATTTCTGGTACATATGGTTGACTCCGCTTTTGATGTAATTTCATTTGGCTTTATGAGAAACCACAGGTAATACAGTTTACAGATATACAAGAAAATACAAGTTTCCTGTCCTCTTCTGTAATTTTCTAAAATGCCACCAGATGGAGGTATTACTCTAAGACAACACAGTAATTCTCTTTTTCCAGAGCAAGAATTTAGTAATTTCTGCATGAGAACAGAGAAATAAAAGTTTGCAGGAAGAATTTTGATTCTACAGGTGAGATATATAAATGCTTAAAGTATGAATAAGCATTGTTGTGTTTTTCAATCTAATGGAATAAATGTTGTATTCATAGAAACAGTAAATTAAAATTTGCTTCTTAAAGGCATATGCTATGAAGATCATTTTTGCCATCATGTCTCCTCTCTGGTCACATAGTTTAGAGGTCCAAAAACAGCATATTAAATTTTAATTTTTAAGGCCATATTTTACTTGCATACCTTGCGAGAAATTTTAGCAAGGATATTAAAAGATTTTTTTTCCTGACATACAACTTTATTTTTCCCTTAACATAATAGGTAAGCAAAATATTTCATTTATTCAATAAACTTTATTGAGAACTATCATGTGTTAGGCACTGGGGACAGACTGAGATGAGATGAAGTCTTTATCATCAAAAGAACTATTTAACCTCGAGACAGTCATATAAATGAATAAATATCCTTCTTTGCTATGTTTAAGACAACTGATTCCCATGTATGGGGAGCACTAAAGATATAACCAAGTTTGGTACAGTAGTCAGAAAACACTTAGAAGAAAGTGCTGTTAAATGAATTCTTCAGCAAAGAAATAAAAGAGTATCTCTTTCTTTTGAGGAATGTGAGTTCTATTAAATTATTCTGCTAGTAGCAATAAAGTATCTCCTCTGAAGATCTTGAAAGTAGAGATCATACACAGTAAGGTTAACAAGTAGACCTCATGATGTCTTAAATTTGTATCTATGACACAATGGATATTTATGAAACTCAATTTTTTTCCAGAATACCTAGCAGAGTGCCTCACACAGATGGGTGCTCAATAAATATGTGAACAGTAGACAGATGAATGATTAAATTGTGGGGGCTATTGTGGGCCTGTAATTCTCATTAGTCATTAGTCATTCCAGATGCATAGCTAGTAAAAACTGCTTGTTAACAAATCAAAATTCTTAAATGAATACAGAAATCTTTCCTTTCATATTCTTTAGGCAGTAGTACTGGCTGGAGATAAAAGCAACAGCCCGAGGCTATGCTACTCTAGTTGCACAGGTTTATTGTTAGAATGTCTTTACCTTGGGTATTAGAAATACTGAATAAAGTATTTATTTTATTGAGTTGTTCTTTAGTACGATAAAGAATATGCAAAAAGAGCTGGGAGCGGTGGCTCATGCCTGTAATCCCAGCACTTTGGAAGGCAGAGGGGGGCGGATCACCTGAGGTCGGGAGTTCGAGACCAGTCTGACCAACATGGAGAAACCTCGACTCTACTGAAAATACAAAACTGGCTGGGCATGGTGGCGCATGCCTGTGATCCCAGCTACTTGGGAGGCTGAGGCAGGAGAATCACTTGAACCCTGGAGGCGGAGGTTGCAGTGAGCCAAGTTCACGCCATTGCACTCCAGCCTGGGCAACAAGAGCAAAACTCCATCTCAAAAAAAAAAAAAAAAAAGCAAAAAGAGTAAGGAATATCTTATTTACTGCTATAGAATGATCTAAGATACAGTTTAAGTGAAAAAAAGATACCAAATGTTTATAGAATGTTTCTTTTGCATAAGAAAGAAAAATATTTATATATATTTGCTTGTATTTTTTGAAAAGCAACAATGGCAGAATAACCCAACTAATTTGAAAATGATGGCCTAAAGAGAGGGAGGGAAGAGTAGAAGGAACAGCAATTGAAATGAGTCTTCAGTTTTAGAATTACGTAAATGTTTTACATGATTTTTTTAAAAAGAGATTTTTAAAAATGAAAGAAAAATATACATGGGGCCAGAAAAAAAATTAGACTTAAAACTTTGAGCTAAAATAGGTGAAAAGCCTCTCCCTAATAAAGTAATTTTATTTCCACCTACTGCTGCAAATGCTCTTTCTAAAATAAAAAGCTGATGGTGGCCTTTCTTTTTTGTCTTCTGTTCTATAACAAAGTTCAACAAACATCTATGAGACCTTTCAGGATCTCTCTCTAATTCTCCAATCTATTTTCAACTAGTTGCTCACTTAAATCCCTAAGTTCAAGCTATGGCAAGCTACATGTAATTCTCTAAAAGCCACTTACTCTTTCCACTTCCTGCCTTTGTACCATTCCTTCTCTTTTCTTTTTATTATGTAATTTTTTGAGTCCCACCTCACAGCTACTCCTCCAGCAAATCTCTGCCAACTCTATCCCAACCCAACGTTAAATCAGGTTTACTTCCACAGCACTCCCAAAACTTCTGGAATATATACCTCTATCTTGGTTATGAGCAAACGATGTAATAATCACTGTAGTTTTCAGGTACCCTACCTAAGACCTTATGTTCCTTGAGCGCTGGGATTGCTTTTTGCTGCTCTTATGTCAAGCATTAAATGAAGAGTACAATGTTTCATGGATAGATGAATAAATAAGTAAATCAAAGAGATATAGGGGACACAGTTTTACATATTTTATGTAAAACTCACAAATTTGGCTATTAAATCTCTGATCTCCAATTAATATTTTATTTTAGGTAATAACCAGTATTACTAATCTTTTATAAAACTGAAATATCTGTACAACACTTGAATTATCCTTAAAGTGTATTAAATCTCACCAGCACAACAGTATTAAAGTGGTAGGTAGATTGCTAAAAACACTGAATTCTTAATTCAGATAATACACCCACGGAATAAATAAATAAATAAACCCATTGAATTCTTTTCCTCAATTCACGAAAGAAAAACCACCATTAATAGGTACTGTGATAAAATTATAGTGTTTTCTTAGGGTAAATTAAGGAGAAATACCACATTTAAAAGATAAAATAGTAATTCAAATTAAAGTGTCTTTTCAAGTTTAATATACAATTTCAAATATAAACTGAGCAATATGATGAATTATCATGAATCTATCACCCAGCTCCACAATTAGCAACTCATACCAATCTTGATTCAACTAAGAAACTATTTGTAAACATTTGCAATACCAATATCTCTTAAAAGATCACTTCGTTAATATTAAAGATATTTAATATTATTAAACATTAAATTAAGTACACTGAATATTAAATATCCAATCAGGCTATCCCTTTAGTCTCATAATTGTTTCTTCCACTCTTCTGCTTTCCAGATTTTGCTAAGCGCACCCTTGTGTTATCATTTAACATATTTTTCTATCCCTTGTATTTCTTATAAACTGGCTATTATATCTAGAGGCTTGATCAGATTCAAATTCAGTTCTTCTTGACAAGAATAGTTTATACGTGGTGTTGTGGACTTCTACCAGATGGCATTTAATGTTTTGTTGTTTTCTTTTGTGTGAGATTTAGTATAAATCTGTGGATTCAGGTACTGCCAGCCTTATCCATCCATTATAAAGCTCCCCATCACTTCATACCTAGCATTTTTAGCAGCCACTGATGATGATATGTCTTCCTCCATTAATAAGAGGCAGTAAAATGGTGACATCATTCATCAGTTACCCAAAACATCTTTTCTTCATTACACTTCTGTAAAGAGAAACTTTCCCTCATCATATTTGTTAACTCTGAGGTATAGTTCATGAAGAAAAGGGGTTTTATTTCTTTTCCTTATTTACCAGTTTTCAAAATGAGTTAAATCGCCAGCATCCTTCAAAGTAGACCAATAATTTTTTAAGTCCCATTATGAACTCATGGATTTGAACTTATTTTATAAATTTTAATCTACTGTCAGCATCCTTGTTGATTTCCAAACTCTCCCATCTTTTTCCAACAGGAAACCCTTTATTAGCTCTTAAGTCCTTCTGACAAGACCTGAAGTAGTCTTTGATAACCTGCCTATCTTTCTAGTATGACAGGATGTACCAGGCTCATCTTGCGTATTTCTTGCCTGAGGCTATAACCCAGCCATTTTATCAAAAAGCCCTTCTATTTATAATAAATTAGAAACTAAGTTGCAATCTAAGTACTAGGTGAACCTATTACTACTGGACTGGTTGCCTTATTTAGGATGTTTCAATGGAATGAGCTAGGATGTGTGTATTTTTAGAGAAACTACATTAAGAATTCATGTAATTCAAATTCAAAACTGCAAGCTTTTTACTTCCATTGTATGTTCATGTCATCACTCGGGTTGAGTTGGTTGCAAATGGCACTATTTATTTGCTTTATTTCAATTTTAATAGTTTCAAAATAATACCATTATCATAAACAATATGATTATTAAAGTTAAGATGACTATGCAATTCTTTTTGTTTTCAGGAATACTCACTTCTACAGTCAAATAACTGCTATAAAGTCAGGTAAAATAATTTATCTCTGTGTGACCACCAATTTGGCACAGTTAGGACCATCTGCTTTTTTAAATAGAGACTGCTTTCTTACTAATTTTGATTTTATGTTGCTTTATTTACTTGGATCCAACTTCGGAGCTACAGAACAAGCTATGGTCAGAAGTTCAGCTTCCATTCTTGACTCCTCTACACTATGTCCTCTCTTCCCCTATAGTAACCATTCAAAAATTTTTTATTTTCCCCTTTTTTAACATGAGCAAATTACGAATAAGAATGTTTATATTCCCCTTTCACAAATAATCATTAACATATTTTACACTCTTAAATAAATGGTAGCAGATTATATACACATTATATCCTGGAGATCATTCTGCAGTAGTGGACATATTATTCTTTGTGAAACTGCATATACTCCATTTTGTAGATGCACCATCGTTTCATGTGCCTCAAGGATGTACATGTTGTTTTCAGTTCTCTGATTCTACAAATAGTGATACAAAAAAAAATGGCCCTCTGCAGATATCTTTTTTATTTATGACAGTGTGTATTTTGATGTGCTATTTATCAACCAATGTAAACTCATCCTCTCTGAAGTTTTAAATTTACAATCACCTAGCACCTAGATCCTGACTTCTAAATACTACTGCACACTTAAATAAACTACAGCTCCTTTGAGAAATGGCAGGCTCTAAGGCTGCAATAGGGAAGATACAAGATGAGTCTAACAACCTTCCTGTGCTAAAATGAAAAAAAAAAAAAAAAATATATATATATATATATATATATATATATAGAGGCATGTCAAAAAGGACAGAGGAAAAACAAAAGGACATGAGAGCCCACTTGAAGGGGCTTCCATTGACCAAATCTGATTTGAGCATAAAAATAAAGACAGTTAAGGATCACTGCTCAGTAAATAAAACAGGAACCCTTGAGTCTGTGCTGATGACAGAAACAGACACACAGAGGAGGGCTCTGATAGAGCTCTGAATGTCAACTGGTAAGGGTATTAGTCTTAGAAAACCATAATTATGCAATCATCACAGAAAATGCTGGTTTGGGCAAAAAATCATCAATGGATACTACATCTAGGGGAAGTTTGCTGAGTAGGATAATTTACATAGACTCAAAGTGTCTTCTCACAAATTGCTTCTTAGCTGTAACAGATGAATTAGAAATCACAGTGGAGAAACCGGACACCATGTCCTGGTGATTGAATGTAGCATCACTAATAGGGACAGACAAACAATGTGAGCTCCAGCTGTGAAACACTTTAGAAGATATATCATTACCAACACGGTTCTCCAGCCTGGTACGCAGAGTAAGGAATGCATAACTTGGATCTAATGATAAGTGAATACCAGAAAAACCCAAATTGAGAAATATATTCTATAAAATAACTAGCTTATAGTCTTTCAAAATGCCAATGTCATGAAAGACAAAGAAAGAGGAACTGTCCAGAATGAAGGAGATTAAAGAGATACGACAGTCAAATGCAATATGTAATCTCTGTACGGAAAGATGATTGACCAAACTGGAATGCAGACTGAGAATTTAAGTACTCTTAAATCAGTGTAAATTTTCCTGAACTTAATAAACAATATAGGCCTTGAGTAAAAGAATACTTTTTTTATTCTAAAATACATACTGACTGTTACAGAGAATGGTCTAAAAGAAAAAAAAATTAAAAAATATATACTGAAGTGTAAGAGGTGTGATTTCTGCAACCTACTATATCACAAGTTTTCTTTATTAACATCCAAGATTGTGAAATCTTCTTTGCAGGTAGTGAAAATGTACAATGATGGAAAAATTTAAAAGCCACAGAAGTGAACATAACAGGCAAGTAAACATTCAATTTATGAAAAATGAAAATACAATTATCTAATGTATAATGTGTCAATAAATTGGCCAAACTAGGCCAACAGAAATAAAATAACTTAACAAAACTTTTTAAAAAAATCCGAAAAGATAAAAATGAACATTAAAGAAGGCAAATGTCAAACTGGGCACGGTGGCTCACACCTATAACCCAGCACTTTGTGGGAGGATGAAGCAGGTGGATCATTTGAGGCCAGGAGTTCAAGACGAGCCTGCCCAACATGGTGAGACCCCATCTCTACTAAAAATACAAAAATTAGCCAGGTGTGGTGGCACATGCTCGTGTTCCCAGCTACTCAGGAGGCTGAGGCACGGGAATCACTAGAACCCAGGAGGCAGAGGTTGCAGTGAGCCAAGATTGAGCCATGGTACTCCATCCCGAGCGACAAGGCAAGACTCTGTCTCAAAAAAATAAAATAAAATAAAATAAAGAAAGCAAAGTCAAATGTATACAAAAGTCACCTCGGCAAGTGCTAGTAGCACTAGAGAAGAGACTGTTTACGTGTATTTAAACATTATACGTAAATTAGACAGCTTATACCAAAGCCTTAGATCTGTTATTTATTTTCAATTATATAACATATACATTTATTTACTTCTGTCCTTAGCACATAAAGATTTTCTTTCTTGTACATATAATTTCCCTACTTTTTCTTTCCTTTATTTTTAACCTGTTAACAGTGATTAGCTGAATTAGATTCCAGTTGGGGGTGCTGGGGAAACCCTGATAGAAGGTAAACTAATTTTCCACAGAATTATAATGGAGGATTGTGTGCTTGACAAAGAGAGCTATAAATAAACAAATCAAAGAATTTTATTTACTAAAGAATACAGGATAGTGTACTAAATTCTCATCCTATGCCTCTTGTTCCCTTCCACCTATAGCTACTGCTTAAGTGTCAATGTCATTCGAAAGAGCTTCTTGCTAGGCATGGTGGCTCACACCTGTAATCCCAACACTTTGGAAAGCTGAGGCGGGAAGATCACTTGAGGCCAGGAGTTTGAGATCAGCCTGGACAACATAATGAGATCCCATCTCTACAAAAAAAATATATAAACTTAGCTGGGGGAGGTGGCATATGCCTTCAGTCCTAGCTACTCGGGAGGCTGAGGGAGGAGGATCCCTTAAACCCAGGGGTTCGAGGCTGCAATGAGCTATCAACTGTGCCACTGCACTATAGCCTGGACAAGAGCCAGACCCTAACTCTTAAAAAAAGGGGAGGCAGCCTTCTTTTAGGGAATTCTTGAAAGAATTTTTGGACGCACACTTCCCCCATAGGGTAAATTTGGGACTAACTTGATGTTCTGAAGTTCAACCATAAATTATTTTCCCCTAGCTCTCTAGCCCTTTCTTCTCCTTCTAGTTGTATTTATATCTGTACACTGGTTAGATGAGCCTCAGGTTTCTGCCACATAGAACTAATTATTTAATTATTTAATAAAAAAAGGAAAAGATGTTATTAGTTGGTGCTATGTGCCAGATATTAGGTTCTTATTTAATCCTTTTATTTTCATAATACAAATACATTCAAGCTCAGAGAAGGCTGTGTAAACAAATGCCAACACTGTAATAACAAGTGTACAAGTTACGAATATATATGGAGAACTGAAAGGAAGTTCAGAAAAAAGCCACTCATTTCTTATGATGAGAGTAGTAGTTTTTTTTTTAAAAAATTCCTTAATGTTTGTGGCAGAAAATGTGCCCCTCCCTATCCACCCAGTATCTATTTTGTTTGTCCTCTAGTAAAACAACCATCCCCCCAGTTTAGGTTGACACATGCCCACCCAGCTAAAGATTACCTTTCTCAGCATCTTCTACAGCTCAGTGTAGTCATGTGAGTAGGTTCTGGCCAATGAGATACAACTAGAAGTGATGGTGATGTGTGATTTCTACATCACAGCCTTAAAAATGAAGTGGCTTGCCTTAAATCCTCCCCCTTTGCATCTTCTCCCTGCTAGCTGAAAAGGGCAACCACTAGTATTGGAAGCCATACATTAAGAAGAGTAAGGCTGTCCAAAGGTTTGAACTCCCTTACCTAGGAGTGAAAGAGAAGTAGTTATATTTAAGCCCCTGTGTTTTTAGTTCTCTAATATAGTACCCTGTTTCTCTAGCTAACACACTGTACTAACATTTGTGAAATAAACATTTTGGAAAGAACAGGTTTTATACATACACAATTTTAACTCACTTGCTCATCTCTTCAACTAATGAGTACTGAGCTAGAGTTTCTATTGGGAACAAAATGCCATAGAAAAAAAAAATACCTTATGTGAAAGTAAAAAGATAAAATACAACTGGTCCGATTCCTGACTGAGGAACTGGAAATGGGGGAAATGCAATTACATGTATGGTTTTATAGGGAGTGATTTCAGAATTCAGCAACGGTATCTTTCTCCATACTTTTCCCTCTGTCTGGAGAATGCTTTCTCTCCAAAGCAATCAATAAAACTTTTCACTCTTCAAGACTATTAAAAAATAAGACTATTCAAAACTATGTCCTTTAGGTAGCCATTCCCTGGTTTCCCCAGGCACAGATCATTGCCCTAGCTCATGTTCCCACAATACTTTGCTCATGTTACTAATAATTCCTTCACAGTATTACAATTATTTTTATACATATATCTCTCCTAACTAGGTCTTGAAGATCATTAAGTCAGGACCTTTATTTTAGTTATTTTATAGACCACTGTCCACTTTAGCATGACTGTAGAAAGAATCTGGAAAGTAGTAGGTAATGACTGAATGCTAAACATTAACAACAACAACAAAAAAACAATTAGTGGCCAAAGTCAAGCAACGGCTTTCAAACTTTTTGGACCATGACCTATATAATACATTTTACATCATGATGAAGTATACACACACATAAATACAAAGTTTGATGAAATAGTACAAATAAAAACTATAAAAGGTTTCAGAAAACCTGGAAAACATCTTCTCATTTGTACAACTCTGAAAACCAGGTAGTTCCACTGCTTTGTTAAGCACTGACCAGCAAAACAACAGTTCCTTTCAGCATTCTAAACTATCAATCCAAGACAAAACTGTATTATAAACTCTGCTTAAAGTACAATATGATTCTATCTCCTTAAAGTTTCTAACTGAAGAAATTTAAAACTGTTAAAAGTGGAGAGATACTAGGAAGAGTAACTTTTAACATGACTAATTTCAAAGATGATTACTTAGTTGTGTTGAACCCAGGATAAACTCAAAAGTAAATATTTTCTAGTAAGCAGAGAATGAGCAGATGAGAAATAAGGGCTATGGATATATACACTGAAAAGTCACTGAAAAATAGTTTCCTAACATACATCTAAAATTTATTATAGTATCAATGACATGAATGAAAATCTCTAATTCTCTAATTTATAGTTACAACAACAAGGCAAACCTTAATGACTTTTTTCAGGCAGAAGTCTAACACATAGAGAAATTATGTTTCCAAAAAATCAAGTGAGGTGGGAGAGGGTAACAGGAGTTAAGAGATTAAATTAGATTGGGCTATGAAATAAAATATGTTGAAGCTATATGGTGTGTACATGGGGCTCATTTTACTACTGTCAGTACTTTAATATAAACTTCAAATTATTCATAATAATATTTAAGTTAACGCAAATAATGCCTACATTTAAAAGTTCAATTTTGGCTGGGCGCGGTGGCTCACACCCAAAATCCCAGCACTTTAGGAGGCTGAGGTGGGTCGATCACCTGAGGTCAGGAGTTCAAGAGCAGTCCAATCAACATGGTGAAACCCCGTCCTAACTAAATACAAAAAATTAGCCAGGCATGGTGGCACATGCCTGTAATCCCAGCTACTTGGGAGGCTGAGGCACGAGAATCGCTTGAACCCAGGAGGTGGAAGTTCCAGTGAGCCAAGACTGTACCACTGCACTCCAGCCTAGGCAACAAGAGCAAAACTCCATCTTAAAAAATAAATAAATAAAAGTTCAATTTTAAAGAGATTATTGATATTTAGTTTGCTTTTTAAAAAAGGTTTTGGCAGGTGTGGTGGCCCACACCTGTAATCCCAGCACTTTGGGAGGCCAAGGCAGGTGGACCACCTGAGTTCAGGAGTTCGAGACCAGCCTGACCACCATGGAGAAATCCTGTTTCTACTAAAAATACAAAATTAGCCAGGTGTGGTAGTGCATGCCTGTAGTCCCAGCAACTCGGGAGGCTGAGGCAAGAGAATCGCTTGAACCCGGGAGGCAGAGGTTGTGGTGAGCCGAGATTGCAACATTGCACTCCAGTCTGGGCAACAAGAGTGAAACTCCGTCTCAAAAAAAAAAAAAAAAAAAAAAAAAGGTTTAAAAATATTTATATGCTTTTAAATTACTTTAATGAATACTGCCACAAAAAAATGAAGTTACCAGCAATATGTAATTTTAAACAAAATTATTTGTTATGTGGCATTTCATCTGTCTGCATATACCTATGGGTGTGTACTGCACCTAAGAAAAAACTGCCTTTATTGTGAGTCATTTGGTTAAAAAATGTGAAATAAACAATGTAGTATGTACCAGATGCTAGGGTGGACAATGGGTTAATCCTTCACTATAAAATACATTCTAAAACTGGAATAGATAAAAGATGATTAGAAATTTTGGTACCCCTTATACAACTAATTCTGATTCTTTTATTATAAATTTTCCTTTCATATCCGACCTCTGCCTTTTACTAATGTAACTGAGGACTGAATCATTTAGAACTGTGAAAACAGTATTACAGAAGTAATAGTAATCAATCTCAAGCATAAAAACAAAAAGACTCCTTGTTTTAGGCTTGTAGGAATTTAGAATGTTACTTCACTCTTCTCCAATGGCCCCATGCCTTGACATAAAAACTTTTGATCCTAGGACTCATTAGCTTTTACTAACATACTTTTCCTTAGTATAAAAATTAAATCACTCTGCTTTTTGCTTAAGCCTGTCTAAATGCCTTACCACCAAAGTCACATCACCAGGACATTTTTAACATACGTGAAATTTAAGATTATCATGGTTTTAAGCCCATCCCTCCAAAAACAAAGAAACAAAAAAAAAAAACAACCTCTTAATTAATATTGGGCTTGATACTTGTCCTTATGATCAAACTTCACTCCTACATTTGATTGGCCACAGATTTTAGTATCTCTCTGCATTTACAGTATCCACCTGACATATACATGTATTTTTGAAGACTTTTATCTCTTTCTTGATTATAAGCTTTAAAGGAACTCAAATTTTAGAATCCCATGATATCTACCACGTAGTAGTTGCTCAATCATCTAAATAACTATCTGAAAACAAACACTTGTATTTCTGAAAGCAACAACAGTGGAACTGAGAAATAGCTATTTGGAGTCATTCTCATTAAGAAAAGAGTACCCCGCTATTCTTGTGCCTTATGCCTCAGTTCTGAGAGATACTGTAGACACTGAATTCCAGAAGTCAGTACTGTTTGAATAGAACTTTGCACATCTCCAGCTTTGTCTCTACATATTTTAATCTCAATAACTTAGATCTCAATCTATCTACACCAAAGAAACTTCTGAGTGCAATTTAACATTTAAAGTTGACTTCTGACTCAACAGTCACCTCATACCATAGTGATACATAATATATTTTCAATCATAAACACTAATTTTCTCAGTCATATATACAAGTTGATTCTGGTACAAGATTCCTGGAATCTCTCCCTAAAACTAGTGGTTCCAACCCATTCACGTGGGGAATACAGTCCCCATTGGCAGTGTTTTTTCTGCTATGCTTCCTTTTTTTTCCTTCCTTCACCTGGAACTAAGTCACAGAAAAACTTTTTTTTTTTTTTTGAGATGGAGTCTCGCTCTGTCGCCCAGGCTGGAGTGCCGTGGCACGATCTCGGCTCACTGCAAGCTCTGCCTCCTGGGTTCATGCCATTCTCCCGCCTCAGCCTCCCGAGTAGCTGGGACCACAGGTGCCCGCCAACACGCCCAGCTAATTTTTTTGTATTTTTAGTAGAGACGGGGTTTTCACCATATTAGCCAGGATGGTCTCGATCTCCTGACCTTGTGATCCACCCGACTCGGCCTCCCAAAAGTGCTGGGATTACAGATGTGAGCCACCGCGCCTGGCCAAAAACTTTTAACAATGAATAAACCTCAGGTAAAGAACTGCAAAGCTAGATGTCAAATACATTCTCCTTATTAGGGGACTTGCATACTTCTTTAATGGGGGACTATGACTTCCATAAACATCTTCCTGAGCCGGGCGCGGGAGCTCACACCTGTAATCCCAGCACTTAGGGAGGCCAAGGCGGGCGGATCACGAGGTCAGGAGATCGAGACTATCCTGGCCAACATGGTGAAACCCCGTCTGTACGAAAAATACAAAAATTAGCTGGGCATGGTGACGCGTGCCTGTAATCACAGCTACTTGAGAGGCTGAGGCAGGAGAATCACTTGTTGGAGGATGCAGTGAGCCAAGATCACACCACAGCACTCCAGCCTGGCAACATAGCAAGACTCTTCAAAAAAAAAAAAAAACAAAAAAAAAAACTTCCTCTCCAACACCCTTCTGAATATATATCATTTGTTCTTTCTTTTCAAACTACATTTCTCATCATTATGAAAATTACAAAAGTTAAAGCATGCTATGAAAACTTTCCAAATAGCTCATTAAATGACTCTAGTAATCTACCCTCCATTTTCTTTTTACCTCACTTGCATGCCCATTTGGCCCCACAAATTTGAATATACTCAATTGCATATTTAAACTGGCTATTCCATTATCACCCCTAGATTATAATAATCTTTCTTGAAGTTAATGTATAACTTTACAACATGGCAAGATGCTGAATGACTACAGGTGAATAGCTTCATATACATGCATATGAATTTAACATGAATACAATTCTCCTGGGAATCTTATTAAAATGGAAATTCTGGCTCAGTAGATCTGGGACCTTTTAAGATGAAGGAATTGTTCTGTACATTACTGGAGTACAGAAAAAATGATTCTATGCACTTGTCAAAACCCAAAGAACTGTGCATCATTGAATAAGCATTAATATATGCAAATTTTAAAAATCAACCAGTATGATGATGATCACAGGATGGAATGCAGATTGTGACAAATGAATCTAATTTTATTATAAATTTATCACATAATTACACTCAAAGGGGTGAGAGAAAAATGAACTTGACCAACATCAGAAAACAGTGTTTTGACTAGAAACTTAAAGGCTAAATATTAAAGTGTACTGTATGTAAACACCGTATTTTAGTTGCGAAATTAGTTTCTCTTGATAAAGTATATCCTAAAAATTCTAAAACTGCTTTACATGTATATTATGAGTGAATATATAAGCAGATAAATGGTGGATGGTCAGAGCCAGGTTTCTCAATGTTGAGTAAGGAAGTTACAAAGCAATAAGAAAGAAAGGTTAGAATGAACCCTATAGCACAGGATTAGAGTTGGAGCCATCGGTATGAACTCACGTTTATGTATGAGATAATATGTATACAGACGTAAGGATACAGAAATGACTATAGATACGTAGGTATACATAATATATCTACATATATTACCTAGCTCTGTCTACTTTGTTCACTGAGAGGAAATAAAAGCAGTGACACTTGAATATCAACAAGCACACCCAGTACCCAAATCTTGGTTTCTAATGCCATTCTCCAAAAAAATGGAACCAAGGCTCCTTGGAGAGTGGCTGATTCTAGGGTAAAAGTAAGGCAGTGTGTAAAAGAAACATACGAGCCAACCTAAAAAAGCTTCCAAGAGCCAAGGCTAGATCAATTTAAGTAACAAAAAAGTCAACTATTATACAATAGATACATAAAATACCTATTATACATAAATATATACAAATATATATTTTATAGAGTTGTAATCCACTAAGCTGGATTACAACTCAAAGCACATACATAAATCCATACATATATAAACGATTTAGAAATTTCCTTACAGAAATTCCATTTAATATATGTAAATACTCCCCCCACCAGGAGATGGAATTTAATTCCTATCCCAACCCTCTTGAAAGTAGGCTAGACAAAATGACTTGCTTCCAAAGAATATATTATGGAAAGGGAAAAACAGTAACTTTACAGTAGAGAAACTTGCAAATACTACCTTGACCAAGTGAGAGGTTAACACCACCAGTAATGTCATGAGGATAACATGTTTCCCATATGATGTGACTAGCACACTTTATCTTTGTGGTATTCTTTCTAAAAACCAATAACCCTAGTTTATCCTAAGAACAATAGACAAGGCCAGGTGTGGTGGCTCACACACCTGTAATCCCAACACTCTGGGAGGCCAAGGTGGGTGGATTACCTGAGGTCAAGAGTTCAAGATCAGCCTGACCAACACAGAGAAACCCTGTCTCTACTAAAAATACAAAAATTAGCCAGGCATGGTGGTGCACACCTGTAGTCCCAGTCACTCGGGAGGCTGTGGCAGGAGAATCGTTTGAACCCAGGAGGCGGAGGTTGCAGTGAGGTGAGATCGTGCCATTGCACTCCAGCCTGGGCAACAGAGCAAGACGCCGTCTCAAAAAAAAAAAAAAAAAGACAAATCTAGATTTCAAAAACATTCTACAGGATACCTGGCCAGTATTTCTCAAGATGGTTTAGACCATGAAAACTAAGGAAAGACTTAGAAACTCTCACAGATGAAAGGAGACTGGGGAGACGTGACAACTAAATGCAATGTGGCACTCTGGATTTAATCCTACAACAGAAAAGAGGGAGTTAATGGAAAAATCAATGAAATCCAAGTATAGAGTTTAGGTAATAGTTTTTTAAAAAAGAATAAAAAAATAAATAAAATGGCTATAAATCTTGTTTCCCCATCTGGAAAGTGGGAATCATAACAATGTATACATCACAGAAGTTTTGTGAGGATGAACTGTGACAATTCAAGTAATGCACAATGCCCTATGTGCATCATGCTAGGTTAAGGCACAGCAAGAGCTCAACAATCATCAGTTGCCATTGTTACTGCTTCCGGAGAAACGAAACTTACCTAGCCTCTTGCTAGTCCTGCTCAAGACACAATTAATTGGAGGTTCGCAGAGAATGAAAACCATGTATAACAACATCAATAACAAAGTGGCAAGATGCTATGACTCCAGATGAATAGCTTCATATAAATGTATATGAACTTAATACATAAGAATCACTTAGAATCTTGTTAAAATGAAGATTCTGATTCAGTACGTCTGGGGCGAGGCACAAGGTTCTACAGTTATAATAAGCTCCCAAATGATGCCAACACCGCTGGTCCACGGACCACAACTGGTGCAACTTTTCTATTTCTGTAGTTTTAAATATTTCCCATTTTAAAAAAAGGTTAAACATTTTCTCCATTCATCATAAAGTAATACTCATTTTAAAACACAAAACTGCACCATATATAACCAATCAGTCATCAAGATCTTAAACAAGCAGCTACTTAAGCAGAGTAAAAGGGGTAACATCACATTAATGTTTGCCCACACATTATGACTACATACAGAAAAGTAATCTTTGAAAGGTAACTCATACACCATTCTGATCTTTAACCATATAGCCATTCCTGAAGTAAATCATCACTCAAGATAACTTATTTAAAACTAAAAAAAGTCAGCCAGGCGCAGTGGCTCATGCCTGTAATCCCAGCACTTTGGGAGGCCGAGGTGGGTGGATCACAAGGTCAGGAGTTCAAGACCACCAGCCTGGCCAACATGGTGAAATCCCATCTTTACTAAAAATACAAAAATTAGCGGGGCATGGTGGCGGGCACCTATAATCCCAGCTACTCAGGAGGCAGAGGCAGAAAACTGCCAGAACACAGGAGACGGAGGCTGCAGTGAGCCAAGATCGTGCTACTGCACTCCAGCCTGGGCAACAGTGAGACTCCATCTCAATTAAAAAAAAACAAACCACACACACACTAAAAAAAAGTCTACCAGGATTTGAAAAATTTGCTTGCAAATACCACCACAAATCCACACAGCTGCAAATTGATGCTTTGAAATCTTCCAGCATTATCTTTAAAAAGCTTAACTTCAGTTACATAAAACTTTGTGTTGAGCTGTAACTGTTATACAGGTGCATCCTGGCCCACATTTCTTAGTAACTAAATTTCAAGACTGTCAGCAATAGCATAGCAAAAGAGACATATTTTTCCTGTGTATTCTTCTTCCTTTCAGTGAATAGTTATAGAGAGATCTCCAGACAGAAAGAATAGTTAAAAATTTTTTTTTTCAGTAGAAAGCTAACTGTAACCTGCAAATGCCAAATGAATTCTTTCTTAATTCTATTCCGTTTAATAAACTTTCACAAAAGAAAAAGGAAATTTTGAAGCAAAAATACATTATAGAATTCTAGCCACTAAAAAACCAAAATTTACTTTAAAAAGCTACTTACAATGAATATCAACTTTAGAAACAAAGTATATTTCTAATCTAATTATATTAGGGGCCAGGCACGGTGGCTCATGCCTGTAATCCCCAGTGCTTTGGGAGGCCAAGGCGGGCAGATCACCTGAGGTCAGGAGTTCGAGACCAGCCTGGCCAACATGACGAAACACCGTCTCTGCTAAAAATACAAAAATTAGCTGGATGCAGTGGTGCATGCCTGTAGTCCCAGCTACTCGGGAGGCTGAGGCAGGAAAATTGCTTGAACTCGGTAGGCGGAGGATGCAGTGAGCCGAGGTCATACCGCTGCACTGCAGCCTGGGCGACAGAGCAAGACTCTGGCTCAAAAAAAAGAAAAAAAATTACTCTATATTAATATTCATAGTTATAGAAACTTTAGTTTTTTTTGCAAGAAAATCCCTCTACCTCTAAAGTTCACCTCCTCAGTCTTTTAACTAGGCACAATCTCCCTTCTTTGTAATGTCTTATGACAAAAGCTTCTGGGGAAGGGAGTGGGAATTGAGTGTTAATGACAGTAGAGCATAGTATAGCAGCGGTAAGAAAGAAAATGAAGGCAAAAAAGAAGGTCTCTCTCCTGATAAACTCCAAGGCAGTTGTAAAAACTAGATAACTTGATAACCACACTTTTCAGAAGCACACAAAACCTGTATAGCAGAATTAACAACTCCGAATAATTAAAGAAATATGCTTTGCAATTATTTAAGATGAGTATGCATTGTAAAAGATTCCTTAAATTTGATTTCGCAAGGTTTAATTTTTTTTTTTTTTTTGAGACGGAGTTTCACTTGTTTCCCAGGCTGGAGTGCAATCGCGCAATCTCCGGCTCACTGCAACCTCCGTCTGCCTCCTGGGTTCAAGCAATTCTCCTGCCTCAGCCTCGCGAGCAGCTGGGATTACAGGCCACCACACCCAGCTCATTTTGTATTTTTGGTAGAGACAGGATTTCTCCATGTTGGTCAAGGTGGTCTCGAACTCCCAACCTCAGGTGATCTGCCTGCTCGGCCTCCCAAAGTGCTGGGATTACAGGCGTAAGCCACCGCACCCGGCCACAAGGTTTAATTTTTTTTCACCTGTAGTATCAAATTGGACTTATTACTCCTCCTCGCTTTAGATATGGCAGAAAAATATATAAAATATTGGAACAGGTAAGTAGTCAGAATATACCAGCACATGATCTGTCTGCATATCCAACTAGAAGATTTACTCTCGAGTCTTATCTCCTATTTTATGAATAGTTTGGTTCCTTTGTTTCCTCTAGGTATTTCTACCTACTAACCATTCCATTCCAACTATGAATAAGAAAATGTGAGGCCGGGTGTGGCAGCTCACACCTGTAATCCCAACACTTTGGGAGGCCAAGGTGGGAGGACTGCTTGAGCCCATGAGTTCAAGACCAGCTGAGGCAATATGGTGAGACCTCATCTCTACAAAAAATTTTAAAATTAGCTGAGTGTGGTGGCATGCACGCCTTTCAGGATGCTGAGGTGGGAGAATCGTTTGAGCCCAGGAGGTGGAGGCAGAGGCTGCAGTGAGCTGAGACTACACAACTGTACTCCAGCCTGGGTGACAGAGTGAGGCCCTGTCTCAAAAGAAAAGAAAAGAAAAAAAAAATTGTGGGTGGACAATATGACTCTTCTATTTACTTAACTATAGTCAGTAGTCAACATACCTATAGAGATTTGAATCAAAGCTCAGATTCAAAAGTCTTTTAATTAAACCTCAACTCTGGTGATTCTAGTAAAACTTTACTGTTTGAAACTTTACGATGCACTTTGTAATTAATTAAAATGAAACTTCAATATCAGTTCAATCCTTAGAGTTGAGGCAATCATATGAGTTTTAATTAATGCAGAGATAGCATCAACTCAGGTTGTATAACTCCTAGACCAATACTTGTTCAAGTAATAATGCTGCTTTCCATAACTGTTCCTTATTTTATTCTCTATGATGTTCTTGCTTATCCAAACAGTATGTATGAAAGCTGATAAACTAAAGTATAACTAGCAAGGTCAGAAAATTCCAAGTGTCAGGCCTGGCGTGGTGGCTCATGCCTATAATCTCAGCACTTTGGGAGCTCGAGGCAGGTGGATCACTTGAGGCCAGGAGTTCGAGACCAGCCTGGCCAATGTGGCGAAACCCCATCTCTACAAAAAAAATACAAAAATTAGCTGGGAGTGGTGGCTAGCGCCTGTAATCCCAGCTACTCCGGAGGCTGAGGTAGGAGAAACACTTGAGCCTGGGAGGTGGAGGTTGCAGTGAGCCGGGATCACACCACTGCACTCCAGCCTGGGCGACAGAGCAAGACTCTGTCTCAAAAAAAAAAAAAGAAAAAGAAAAGTCCAAGTTTCAGATCAAATACAAATACCACTATTTAGTTTTCTATCTAACATTTTTTCTTAATCTTCCTAATTGCCAAAACTTTCCTGTTTCTTGTCCACCCCCATGTCTCCATCACTGTAATTAATGTTTTTTTTATATAGTATCCTGTGTTACACAAAACATGCTGGTTACAATAAGCAAATATTCAGTGCTCATTATCTCAGAAAATATTTTAAGCCCTTTACATGAAGCATCTCAATCCTCAAATTTTTTTTAAATTTTATTTTTTATAAATTACAGACAAAGTCTCACTATGCTGCCTAAACTGGTCTCCAACTTTTGAGTTCAAGTGATCCTCCTTCCTCAGCCTCTCAAAGTGCTGGGATTACAAACAGGATCCAACAAGCCCAGCCGTGAACTTTAAATAAGATAAACAATAGTTTAATCCCCTCTTTATGGGGCAAAAATCAGAGCCTCAGAGATTAAGTAATTTGCCCTAATTCACACAACTAATAAGAGGTAGAAATAGGGTAAGCAAACAGTTTGACTCCAGTGCCCACATTCCTAATTTCTATATATGATAATGCATATAACTACATGGATTGTAAACTAATGTGCAGATAACTCAAAATTTGAGAGCTACAGAATTTAAAGAATCTTCTTTGCAAACACTTGACCCAAGCAAGAACTCTTAACTCCTTCACAGATAATTAAAACTCCAATCTGAAAATAAAAAAGGGCCACAGTAATATTTCAACAAATGTCTGGCTCAGCACTGTCTAAAACTTTCTCCAGTGATAGAATGTTTTCTATGTGCTGTCCAATATGGTAGCCACTAGCCACATGTGATTATTCAGCACTTGAAATATATCTAGTATGACTAAGTAAATTCTGAATATTTTGTAATTGAGTTCAAATAGCCACATGTGGCTAGTGGTTACCACACTGGACAGTACAGGTATAGAAGACAAAATGCCAGAAAAAGATGAGTGAAAAAATTTTTATTGCCTTCATCTAGAAATTTCACTAACAGTCAAAACAATTTAAATCTATTATACATGCTCCAGCTTAATTATTAGCTCAAATATAAACTTCCAAATAGATTTAAGTAAACAAAAACTTTCTATATTTAAGATCTACTGTGTATCTGAATGAAAAATATAATTAAAACCTGTATTATGAAAAAAGGTTCGTATATCAGAATTTTTTTAGTATTTGGATAGCTAAGAGGAAAACCTGAAAACTCTGCTACCTATGAGGAAAACTAAATAACAACAATAACAATAAAGAAAAAAGTCAAGTTTTCAACTCTCTTCATAGTAAACAATTGATAACAAAGTGCTTACTTACCTTGATTCTCCACTACTGTTTCTAACACTTTCTTCATCACTGTGTCCATTCATTGTAAATTATTATCAAGAAGTTTTAAAGTAAAATATAAATCTTCCCAGTTTAAAAGATGAATATAAATACTGACTCCTTGAATATAAAAATTCACAGATGAATTTTCTTCAACAGTCACAGGTTTTCTGGGACTCTCCTTTGATTCACCTAAAGAAAATATATTAATAAATTAACAAAATTTCCTGCAGAAAAAAGGTAAATTAAGCCCTGTCTAAAACGTATAAATCTACGTAGGCCAATTAGACTACAGCTGTTAAGGAAGAAGTGGGGGCCTTTTATTAAATACTTAAAATATCTAGACTTGTAATAACTACACTCCTGACTGCTAACTAGAATTTAGTATGCTACTGCTAATATACTTCGGACAGAAAAAATTAAAATATTTGTGGAGTGAAAGGATTTTTAGAGACTAACTGCAACTAACAATGTTTTTATAGACTCCTAAAGCAAGGTGATACGATGTAACATATGCATACATCCCAAGAGTAGATAACGGAGTCTTATTAGATAACTTGGTCGAATAAATGAAGTGGGGGGGGGGGTGGGAGGAGGTTACCTTTAATCAAGCCCTCACTCCTATCACCAAGAACTTCATACACTTGAGTGAGAAAGTTCTGAAAACGCTCCCATGGGAGGAACAGGCAAATAAAAGATACCATATACTCTCAACAAAAATGCATAGCTCAAAATAAATGTGTTATTTAACAGGTAAACGGATAGTGGGATGATAACATTTAAATAATACTTAACCAGTTTGCACTTGGTTTTTATTTTGTGAAAAAAATTGAAAAGGTAATAGAATATACACTATATCTGATTTTTTACGTAAAAAATTTGGGGCAAGAATAATGAACCAAGACACACCATTTCCACCTTTAAAGATTTCAGTACAACACTGAAGAATCACCTACAAGCCATCCACGAATAAACAAAGGAGATCTCTGGCAGGGGAGGGAGAGGAAGAAGCGGGGGAAGGAGACGTCAGATCCTTCCCCAGCCAGAAAGTACCGAGACAGCCAACTGAGAGCAGAGCTGTCCTCCGACCTCAGCAAAGAGAATTCACTCCTACGATTATTTCCATTCCACAAGAGAGGGAGGGAAACAGATTGTTACCAACTCAATGATAGCAAAGTCTGCATCTGGATCAGGATGTTAATTCTCTAGACTACTGTCCAGTAGACTCTGCAAGAACAGGTTATCTAAAAAGTAACCGTTCTACTCAACATTTATTCCTAATGTTAAATATTAATCTCAACCCTAGTCAAAGTGCCTTACTGAACAATTAAGTCTTAAAAAATCTAAGTATGTTAACAAACTGCCTTTCCCGTTTCTTCCTTTAAAAAGTTCACTCCCCTTTTCGTTCTTTCCTTTTCACCTTCCTTTCGTCCCTCAAAATGGCTTTCTCTGTACATTTTAACTTCCTTTCCCCTCCATCTCCCTTATCCGAATAAGTCCTCTGAGACCCTTTTCACAACCCTGAGTTCTGAAGCTCCAAGCGCACACAGCGCTGTGTCCTCTCAAGCGTCTCCACAATGACTACCCTAAGTTATTAAACCTCTTCAATCCTCTGTCTTTTAGCAGTTGCTTTGCTCCTGCTAAGTTTTTAAAGCGGCACTCGAAAGAGGTTTGGAAACCATCCTCACTCATCCATCCAGCGCGCTCCAATCAGCCTCCCTCGCGGACCTGCCCCCCTCTCCCAGGGCCTCCATCCCGGTCCAGGAGTCCCTCTTCCCGCCTCAAACTTCCCGCAGACCCGCCCCGCGCCCTCCCAGGCTCGCCCGAGCCGCCGCCCCCTCCCCCTCCCGCCGCTCCCCACGTGCTGGGAGCCCGGGTCGCGGCAGGACCCACGCACCGGCTAAGTGCTAGCCATTCGCGGGTCTCCTCTCGCGGCCCGGTCGGCACCAAGCCGAAGAGGCCGGGGCAGGGCCGCCGGGCCGGCGCAAGGATGCGTTCTGCGGCCCCGGCCTGTACTCGCCGCTCACACGCCCCCTGCGCGCCAGGCCCGTACACCGCCACCGGCACTCACAGAGCCACCCGGCCTTCACCCGGCCGCTGGGCCGCCGCCTGGGCACCGCGCCGCGCCCGCCCTCCGCCCGGCCGGTTCCTGTCCTCTCCGCCACATCCTGACCCGCCCGCCGCCCCCTTTCTTACCGGCGGGCTTGGCGGGGCGGAGGGAGCCGACTCGGGTGGACGGCCTCCCCCGCGCCCAGGCCCGGGATCTCCGCCGCCCAGTCCTAGGGCTCCGGCGTCTCGGGGTAAGCAAGAGTCCGTGCGGGGGAGGGGGAAGGGGACAGACGCGGAGGGGAAGGGGAAGCCCCGGTCCGCAGCACCAACGCGCGATCCCCTGCGGAGTGGAGCTAACAATTCATTATTGAAGCACCAAGGGCGAGGGCAGCAAGAGCTATAAGTAACCAGTCGTCGCCGCCGCCGCCGCCGCCGTCGCGCGCGCGCTCCCGCTCCCTCCGCTTATCTGCCCCCGGCAGCCGCCATGACGCCGAGAAAGCAAGCGAGCGCAACCGTCTCCGTCGTAGCCGCCGCCGCCACCGAGGTCGCCGTCGCCTCCGCCTCCCGCGCGACGTAAGCGCCTCTGCTCACTCCCCTTCCCGACAGAGCGCGAGGCGGGCGGGCGCGCGCACGCCGAAGCCTTTCTGCTCGCGCGCGGGAGGCGGGAGGGACTACGTTGAAGGGTCGTGGGCGTAGGAAAAAAGCGATTGGTGCTGGGGCGGGGCGGGGGGGGCGAGTGCGCGCACGCGCACGAATGGGAGTGCGCACGGCGGATGCGCAGAGGCTGTCGGACTCTGACTGCGCGGAGACCGCTGGACTCTGGTCGCGGCCTTAGTCCGCTGATCCTCGCTTGGGTGCCCGCCCTTAGCGGCCCGGCGTTGAATTCCGGGAAGTGGGAGCTTCAGGCTCGCTCCGTGCGGGTATGGGCGCTAATGTCACTTGGGATGGTTGCGCAAGGACATCGCGGCGGACACTGACAAGGAACCGGGGAGGAACGGGGGTGGGGAGAGACTGCGATGGGACTCGGGAAGCCGGGAAGGGCCGCGCTGAATAAGCCTAAGGGGCCGGGTCGCAAGGAGTGTCGGGTAGCACAGGCCTCGGCTCAGTCGGAGCGCCAGGCCTCAGGGTCCGGGCGGGGGCTGCTGCGTCACACCAGGCAGCCTGGGAACGCAACTGTTGGGCAACCGTGGTGGCCTCTCGCCACCTCTTACGCTTGGGCGATCTGCGATTGACGCATCCTGGGAGCTGATGTCCCGCACGGGCGGGGCGCCGGAGGAGGAGAGAAAATAGAGACCCGGTTGTTGACAGCCTGTGATGCCGCTTGATTCATGTGTGGGTGGCCTGGTTTAGAAATGTACCACCCTTCCTTTCTAGGTTCCTCCCCGGAGGGCGGGGTGACGGGTGCGGCGCCGAATCGCAACAAAAAACGCTGCTCGAGGGATGTTAGTAACTGTCTCAGCTTAAGTTGCTGCCTTTTAGCTTACAGTTTGTATCGTAACTGTAATTGTGGATCTTAGTTAAATCCCTTCAGTGTGTTGGAAACATATTTTTAAGTGTATTTTTGAAACATACTTAGAGCATTTTGAAATGCTTTTTTGAAAGCGTTTTTTAAATCAAAATTCTGTTACACTTTATTTTTTTCAGTCTGCAGATGAACTTGACTCACTCAAGGTTAATGATTTTTGTTTTTTATTTATGTTTGTAGAGGCGGGGTTTTGTCATGTTGCTAGGTTGGTGTTGAACTCCTGAGCTCGAGCGATCCACCTGCCACTGCCTTCCAAAGTGCTGGAATTACAGGCGTGAGCCACGGCGCCCGGTGGCCGAGGTTAATAATAATTAAAAGTTTCTAATCCCATTGTTCAGTTATTTGATTTGGTGTAAAGGCGCACTTTCCAAGTCAGATGAGTTTGTGGTAACATACATTCCCCAAATAATTATTTTTCCCTTGTGGGAAATATTCCAGTTTTAGGCTACCAGCTGTTTAAACAGTTTGGTTCAAATCCTTCAAAAAAATCTCAAAACATAACTCCACATATGTATTTACTACATATTGAAGGGTGTATTCACTTGGAGAAGTAGGAGAAAGCAAACAGATGCCAATGGCCTTTTTGAAAACATGTATCTATCAGCAATAATTGAATAGCAAAACGAAGTGGAACACTACCATCCTTTGCAATATTAGATAGTTTTAATACTGGGTTGTGAGGAATGAAAAGATCATACAAATCGTCATTTCTGAAGTCATTTCTGAAGTCGTCATTTCTGAACTGAGTGCTAATTTTTCATATTAAGCTTTATGTTAATATCCTTAATGAGAGGAACTTCCTGTGCCCGTAATTTCTCCAGAGAAACTATTAACATACACAGAATGTTGTAATCAGAAGTATAGTTCAGTTAATAAAGTCCTCAATTACAACTCTGACATTTTGTCATTGTCTTATGAAAAGAATTACTGTATATACAGTCTATTTTACGTTTTCCGGAAGCACGTCAGGCAGGTTTTTTGTTTTTTTACTACTAATTGTGCCATTGAATATGCTATTCTGTCGTATTGTGCCATCAAACATGCTATTCGAAAAAAGATCTTGCCCAATTTGTAATAAAATATTGAACATTGGAGATTTAGATTTCGAGTAAAATCATACTTTATTGCTTTGCAGAAGTACACAGTAGGTGGAAAATTGCAACAATCTTGCCAGTTCATTTTTTAAAAAGCGTGTAGGTAATCCAAAGATACCTTTTTGATGATTTGTTATCAACATAGTTAAATTTGCAGTGTCACTTTATTTGAATAAACTAGCTTTATCTCTACTTAGTGGTACTAAAACAATAGCCAAACAGTTGATAATCTCAACACATGACTAACGAAAAATTCCACATAATTAACATTAACCAGGAGGTTTTTGTTACTATTTAATTTCTCATTTTTAAAATTTCATATTCTTTGGAAAGAATATTACTTTTCCGGAATCTAAGACAGCATTTTGTGGGTCCTTAATTGTGATATGCTTTACTAGGTAAAGTACTAAATGGGTATCCTTAGGTGGGGATAGGCTGGGAACCACATATCCAGAATTGTGAAATATATAACATAAACAGGATAACTTGCTCCTTTGTTAGCTTTTTGGATGCCAGGGTTAAGATTTTAATTCCATAATTATGTCCTTGTTGCCTGGAGGATTTGCATATGAGAAACCACAAAAACAATCGGGACATTATTAAAATACCCTAGAATCTCAACCTGTGACAGTATTTCCCATGTCCTTGCAAAACCAGAGGAAGTCTTTCCAATATGATTCTTAAATTTACAAAGTCCTCTGAATAGAAACCATGAAATCCTAAGTCATCTTCTAGTGAAGATTTGCTGTACATTTTCTGTTTTCCTAATAAGAAATTAGAGGAGTTTAGTTCCCAGTGTTGGGCAAGGGATAGGACTCAGTCACCTGGAAAGTTCTTTTGTAACTACACGTGCCTGACACTCCTATTCTTCCCCTCTGCTGATATGCAGAATTTCTAGGTTCTAGGTAGTATTTGGGAAGTTTCCCAGATTATTCTGATATCTACCAGCGGCTCATCCACCTTCTTTATGGTCACTGTATTTGGGGATTTTGAATGATAAATTCTTGAATCACTAAAAGCTAAATTTCAAACAGAAAATTGTTAGAGATGATACTAAGAGGCAAGTATGTATAAAATCTAATAGGCATTGAAGAAGATACAAAGATTCCATCCTCTACTGAAAAATTAAGTGTGCACGCAGAGTAAGAAAGAAGGTTAAGTAGCCAACCTCAAAAATATTTAAAAATTATTGCATTGATGCTGTATCACTCATTTCCTTGCCCAGATTCTTTTTTTTTTTTTTTTTTTTTGAGACAGAGTCTCACTTTGTCACCCAGGCTGGAGTGCAGTGGTGCTATCTCATTTCACTGCAATCTCCGCTTTCTGGGTTCAAGTGATTCTCATGCCTCAGCCTTCCAAGTAGCTGGGACTACAGGCACGCGCCACCACACCCAGCTAATTTTGTGTACTTTTAGTAGAGACTGGGTTTCACCATGTTGGCAAGGCTGGTGTCAAACTCCTGACCTCAGGTGATCTGCCTGCTTCAGCCTCCCAAAGTGCTGGGATTACAGGTGTGAGCCACCATGCCCAGCCCTTGCCCAGATTCTTTATTCACTGCTGTCCAAATACTGTTGGTCCTCTGTACCTGCAGGGATTTGCAGGTACAGAGGCTCAACTATAAGGGACTTGAGCATCCCCAGGTTTTGGTAAATGGGGGTCCTGGAACTAATTCTCTGCAGATACTGAGGGACAAACGGTACCACTCATTTTAATGCAGAAATTTTGTATTCATCCTTTCTTTTTAACTCCCACTACCGGGCTTAGTTTAGGCCTCTATTTTCTCTATCTTTCCCTTCAGCTTATCCTTTAGGTTTCCTTCAAACTTGAAATCTAACTAAATCAGTCCCCTGTTATATACCACATATATTTGTAAACTAAACATATATGAAGATGTATGTACATATCATATATTCCTAGTATTTTAGTTACTTAATTTTTTCACAGACTAATCTCAGTATTGCCTCTCATCATTCCTAATGGACACTTGGTACTCTAGACACTTCTTCAGGTCACTGGAAAGGTATCTCTCATTGTAAGTGGATATAACCCATTTATCTTATGGGTCAGTCTTTCATAAGTTCGTTTAAGTAAATGCTCAAGAACTGTTGAGTACCTTGACACAATTGTGCTGACAACCTATAAGACTTGTCAGAAAACTCTCTGACCTCCCTTTTAGGACATGGAATTGAGTATTCTGTAAGTGCGGCATGTCATTGTATCACAATATAGCATTTGTTTCCATACTACATTGTGAGGTCCTTGAGCAAAGAGTACTGTGCCCCAGTGCATTGTATTGATATTCATTCAATACAAATGTAAGAATGTATTACATACCAGACATTCTGCTGAGGGTAGGGAGGGATTATAATACAGCAAAAACTAACACTTTCAAAGTTAAAGCCTAGTTCAGGACACAGTCACACTATAAAATGACAACTTAGAAAAATAGTATGAAGAGACATACGGTGCTGTGAGAATCCATAATAAAGAACCCTAGTCAGAAAAGTCTCAAGGAAGTGACGTGATCGTTGTGGTCTAGAGCTGAAGAATTAATATGAATTAGGTAGGCAAGAAAGGGAAGTACAAGAGCTGCTTTCTGGGTAAAAGAAACAACATGGGCAAAGATTCTGGGGTCAGAGAGATCACGTCAGTGCACTTGCCAGTTTGCCAAGAACAGGCCGTATTCACTTTCAGAAGTGTTCAGGTTTGGATAGTAAATTGCAGGGCCATCCTATCTATAAGGGACTCTAAGAAGCATGGTTCTGCTGGAGCAAACAGCAGCTGGACAAGATGAGGCTACATAGACACTAGGCCCAAAGGCTAAGTGAAGTATGTTTTTCAAGACAATGAGGAAGCTATTGAAGGATTTGAAACTGGGTGGTAGCTTGATGGGACTGGCAAATTGAAAGTTTTTACTTTAGGTATAAATCCCAAAGAAGGATTAGATGTGGGTTGAAGTAGATACAGTATTCCTAATTAAGTCAGGAGTCTTTGGCAGATAAGAGAGGTTAGAAATGACATGATAGACTAGGATAGTGTAATGGAGGTGGAGAGAAGTAGAATTGGGAAGGGTAACAAAACTTGATGGGATTGGATTCAGGCAGGGTTAGGAGGAGGAGGGATGTTAGTCATTTGCAGCTGAATGACATTCACTTATATAGTAATGTATTTGGAGATGTATAGATAGGGAGATCATTACGTTTGGTTTAAGACAGAATTGGGCCGGGTGTGATGGCTCATCCCAGCACTTTGGGAGGCCAAAGCGGGTGGATCACAAGGTCAGGAGATCGAGACCATCCTGGCCAACACGTTGAAACCCTATCTCTACTAAAAATTAAAAATTAAAAAATTAGCCGGGCATGGTGGCATGCACCTGTAGTCCCAGCTATTTGGGAGGCTGAGGCAGGAGAATGGATTGAACCTGGGAGGCGGAGGTTGCAGTGAGCCGAGATCGTGACACTGCCTTCCAGCCTGAGCGACAGAGCTAGACTCTGTCTTGGGAAAAAAAAAAAAAAAAAAAAAGACTTACAGAATTTCTGATGCCTTTGAATTGCCCAGGAGGTTTCTGGATAGAACCATGGAGCTAAGTGAAGTCTAGACTGAAAATTAAAGCTGTTAAGTGTGAAGTGTGTAGGGAAAAATTAAAGTCTTGAGTATTCATGAAGTAAACTTGGAAGACAGCCTAAGTGTGTGCAGTGAAGAATTCCAGTTTATTTTTGACTAGGTAGAGGAAGATGAACTGGATAAGGAGGAGTTACACAGTTACCAGCAGGGTGTTGCGCTACTGAAGATGAGTAAGGCTTCATGGAAAGAGTGGTGAATAATGTCCAGTTGCTGTATAAGAATTAGGTGGAAGGATTAGCACATATTAATCATCTAAAAAACAAATACATTAATATCTTCAAAGTCTGATTTGGGAGAATTTGTTTTCATTGTTTTTTTTCAAACAGGAACTGAACAATACCATCATTTACAGTTACGGGCTATGGGTGGTCACTTAATTGGTGTGATTTGAGACTGAGAACCTCCTGTTCCACAAATCTATACTTCATCCTCTACTAATGCTTGAAAAGTCATTGATAGAAATCTGTTTTAAAGCATATATTCCTGGGAAGAGTAATATGTTTAGAAGATACATAATTCTCAGCTGTGCCAAAATTTAGAATTAACTGAGGAGTTGTGTACTAAAAATGCTCAAGATTATATTCCATGGTTCTGAGGTGGGGCCTTGGCACATGCATTTTTTTAAAAGCTCCCCTAGGTGATTCTAATGTGCCATTGTTGAAAAATCATTGACAGCATCCTATTAACACAGTATTGACTCATAACGTTTTGTTTAGATGACATGTGGGTAGGACAGGACACCTATTTATAAAACAGTGGTTGGTAATGGCCATTGAGTAGGGAGGATTTCGCCCAAAAGAGAACATTTGCCAAAATCTGGAAACATTTTTGTGGTCATCCCAGTGGGTGGGTTTTGCGGAGTTGGCACTATTCATACATAGTAGTTAGAGGCCAGGATACTGTTAAAAATCCTGCAGTGTACTGCACAGCCCCCTCTCCTCTCATAAGAAAGAATTATCTGGCTCAAAATGACAAGAGTGCCCTTGTTGAAAAAACTTGCTGTAAGCGATGGCAAGCTAGGTAGTATTTTCCAGTGAAATCTTACACAGATTGGAGTTGTGGTTTGGTAAGGGTGCTAATGAATGAGGATCTACTCTCTACCTAACAGCTTAGCCAAAACTCACCCTTTCTTATAACCAGTAACAAAGGAGCCTCAAATAAAATACATTTTTCAGAACAAAGAAATGTGACTAGCATAATAGACTGATTGCAATGTTATTTTTCTTGTTAACAATTTACAGTGTAACAAACTGTTATTGCTGGTAAGGGTGCAAATTGGTTACAACCACTTTGGAAAACTGATGTGCAGTATTCATTATAGCTGAACTTATCCTACCCTGTAATTCAGCAGTTTCATTCCTGAGTGTATACGCAAGAGAAATTAATGTATGTGGCTACTAAAAGTTTCGTGTAACAATGTTCATAGCAGTTTGATTCATTATAGCCCCAAACTGGAACAAAGTGAAGCATATTCATAAAATGGAATATTATCTGGTAATAAAAAAGAAAATGCTACACACAGTAACATAGACAAATCTCGCAGTCATTGCATTGAGTGAAATAAACACAAAATAATTCATATTGTATAATTCCATTTATATGAAATTCAGGAACAAGCGAAACTAATCGATGATAGAAGTCAGGATGATATTGACCTTTCTGGGGTTGGTATTGGCTTGGAAGGGGCACAGTGAACCTTCTGAAGTGATGGAAATGTATACCTTGATCTGGAATGTTATACTGGTGTATGCGTATGAGAAAGTTCATCAAGCCGCACATTGACTTTTTGTGAACTTTATATGTGTTATACTCCAGTGTTTTTTAATTACTAAATATAAGAAAAACAGCAAAGCCACTTCTTAACTACTTGAAGTCTTCTGTCTCAAGCTTGGTTAAATACAGGGTCAACTACATACTATATTCTCAATAAATATAAATAACTCTAATGCATTATTTGGTAAAAGGAATATGGGATTTGGAATCAGACCTAGTTTGTTTGTTTTTTAAGACTAGTCAAGTGCAGGAGTGAGAAGGAGGGAAAGAGTAGAACAAGAGTTCAATCTAGACCTGACTGAACAACCAATTGAGATAACTCACTACCTTTGGACCAGCTTCAGACCTAGTTTTGTATCACAGCTTCATCTTTCATTAGCTGTATGACATTGAATAAGTCACTTACTTGGGTACTTTTTGTGACTATAAAAGAACAGAAGATAGCTGAGAGAAGTATAAAAAACATTTTTAAAATTTTAGCCTTCATTCATGATCCCTCACCACTGAGAAACGTCCACACACATTCAGGAATGGGCCTCAGCAGTTAAGAATGCATTAGGTGACCTAACACCTCTGGCTTTAGCTAGTTGAACAACAGAACCCTATCTGAATGAATCAGATTTTTCTGAGAATTTAAAATTAGGATTGAGAGAAGCTTGTCAGACTGCTGATCACTTGAACTGGGAAAATATAACCTTAGGCCAGGGCTGCTTTGTTTGGTAGCAAGCAGCATGTGGAGAATCTGAGAGCTGTGATACAGAACAAGAGTAATCTCAGATTACTTACTGTGTCACCCAGTGTTCTAAGTGCTATAAGTCTGTGAATTTGGGTACAGGTTTAGTATTCCTTATCCAAAATGGTTGGGACCAGAAGTGTTTAGGATTTGGGTTATTGGAATATTCGCGTATATATAATTAGATATTTGGGGATGAGTACTCAAGTCTAAACATGAAATTCTTTTATGCTTTATATTTTATGCTTTATATATACCTTATACACATAGCCTGAAGGCAGTTTTATACAATGTTTTCAGTAATTTTGTGCATGAAACACGTGATGCATCATACAAGGTCAGGTGTGGAATTTTCCACCTGCTGTGTCATGTGGGTGCTCAGAAAGTTTCATGAGGCAGAAAGATTGCTTGAATCTAGGAGTTCAAGACCTGCCTGGGCAACATAGTGAAACCCCAGCTGTATTTAAAACATAATAATAAAAAGTTTCAGATTTTGGAGCAAATCAGCTTTTTAATTAGGGGTGCTCAACCTGTACTATTATCCTTACATTACAGGTAAGGAAACTAAAAAGCTTGCTTAAAGTAAGTGCTAAAGATAGTAAAACCCAAGTAATTTGACCCCGGAGTCTGCTTTCATGAAGCAGTGCTGACATACCAGACAGAGATACTGTAGCTGCCTCAGTTCCTGATAGCTTTCTGGTTCCTGATCTTAGCGCTTTGCAAGGATAGGTCTGCTCCCTATCTTTGAATTATTTATAATAATTTATCCTTAAAATAAAATTTTGTGTCTTAATCTAGCTTGAGTGGGTTTCAGCCAGTTGCAACTGAAAGAGCCCTGCCTCAGTTTGACTGTGAATGGGGTTGCAAATAACAAACCTCACAGAAACTGACAATGGCTGATTCAAGGTGAGATAGGTGGGTAATGTGGACTTTCCACCATTAAGATGGAAACTTAGTTTGTGTTATGCAGCAGTGAATCCTTTTATCCAGACTTTCTCCAACAGTGTTTTAGAACTCAGTCATTGAGTGTTGCATTACAGAATTTGGTAGCCAAATATTTTTAAATGTCAAGTATATTGGTTACTATATATGAGTTTTGAAAAGCACATTGGAAAAGAGAGGCATTCTAAACAAGTTTTCCAGAAACAAAGCAGATTGGAGCAAACTCTGCAAATTTGACAATTATTGGAAGCCATTTCTGCCTGTAGCCTATGGTCTGAGAATGTTTGACCAGATCAAATTATTCGAGAGGCGTGTTTAATTGCAGCATTTTTTTGCCACATTTTTTCTAATACTAGAGTTTTTACACTGAGTACCAGAAAGTGAAATCTTAGTATTAGGAATAAGACTCAAGGAGGTGCAAGTGATAATAAAGAACTCTAATTCCTCAGCTTCCTCCCCAAATATTTTCTACTGCCTACCCCTTTTCATGCCTCACAGAAATATGATGATACTTCACACCATCTATCAATAGCAACTAGGATTGGAATGCACTGTGTGTATAGGGATATGACTAAAGGGCAAGCTGGCATGCCTGCTTATTCTCTTGTTTGCTTGTGAGGCTAAAACAGAACAATGTCGATGGACAGAGTCCCAGCTGTTGCTAAGAAACAGAAGTTCAGAAGAATTGACAACTTAAGGAGAAAGCTGACCCACTAAGGTCTTCAGCATTAACTAAATACAAAAGGAATCTCCCCTAAAAGAAAATCGGCAAGCAATCCTTCACAGTAGAGCAGTTGCATGCCATAAAACCCCAATGTCTGCAGTAGACCCAGACCACAGACTATCTCAACTTCTCAGGCACCTCCCATTCTCCAATTCAAAGGAATTTGCACCTGCCATAAGTGAGTACCCTTACCCAAATGAGGAACCTCAGTGTCTTTCACTTGGGAATGTACCTGAAGGACTCTATAAAAGGGAATCCAAACTGGGTGTAGCCAGATTTTCTAATAACTGGTTAGGAAGTGGTTCAATTAATTTATGCCTTGTAAGATTACAAGGGCCTATTATGTCCTATCATACTCCTGCTGCATACAGTATATACTGTAATTGAGCTAGTTAAATTTGTATTGAGTCCACAGATTGCAGTATAAATTCAAATATTTCTTGAAAGCTCTCTCTATCCCTGTCCTCAGGCCAAGTACTAGGAAAACAGTGTGAAGGACAGGGTTTTTCTCACTTGGAGTTGACATTCTAGTTTGAAATTGGAGGAGGAGAAAGACAGATGAATAAGTAAATAACAGGATTCTAAATGGAAGCTGGGTGCCGTGGTACATGCCTGTAGTCCCAGCTACGTGAGAGGCTGAGGCGGGAGGATTGCTTGAGTCTACGACCTTTAGTGGAGGCCCACCTAGGCATCATAGCAAGTCCTTCTATCTTTATAAATAAATAAGATATTGGGATGATTTCTGTAAAGGAAAGATAGGGTACTATCAGAAAGAGTAACGAGACATTTACATGGGAAGAGCAGTTAGGGTGGTCAGAGAAGGCTTCTTTGAGCTGTATCTGGAAGGATGAGATGGAGCTGATTGTAGGAAGAACCGTGGGAAAAGTAGGAAGGAGAGCAAATGCAAAGACCTTAAGGTAGGAGAGCGTTGTGACATGGAAAGGACTGGAAGAGGCAGATACTGCTGAAGATAAGTAAGTAAGAAATAGAGTTGATAATAGAGTGAGCACTCATTCAACAATTTAAAAAATTATTTTTTAATTTTTATCTGAATTCATTTTTACAAATTTTGTATTAACATTAATTTGAGGAAGTAAAAATATTCATTTGGCTAGAAACTTCTCTCTTTCTTTTCATTTTTTAAGTTCTCTATACATCTTAATTTTTTAACTGCCTGAAATTAGACTTGGTATAACAGGTATAAGGCATGAATATTTTACTTTTAAGAAATGATTTTTCAATCAATTTGATTTTATCATTTCTTAACATTTGTTATTATGAATCATGTTTCTGTTTTTTCCTCTGCTTAGTTAATATCACTTTAGAGAAATGTAAGTAAAAACTGTGCAAAACTGTTGTTTCATATACTGCCATTAACAAAGCTCCCAAGGAGACAGTATATGGACCTACCTAACTCATCAAAAATAATTAGCCTAGACAAATAGACATATTGGATGGGAAGGGAAAAGAAGTACAATTAGCTCTCCATGTTGTTGTCCTATGGGTTTTCACAGTTAAATCAACATGCAGTTTTCAATGACAATACATTAATAAAATAAGCTAATTAGACATTTTGAAAAGGGTTCAAACTTAAGAAAAAAACTCTGTATAGCCCCAAATCTACAGTAAAATAGAACTGCTGCAAGGAAGAGAATGGTGGTAGGACTTCCGCCTGTTTTTCATACTTCCATTTCTGTTCTGTGCCTTCCCCCTGCCTGCCACTCTCATATAGAAATCAGAGAGAGAGAGGTCTTTAAAAATGTAAAACAAATCATGTTGCTTTGCACTCTTTCAGAAAAATTCAACCTCCTTTCTATTGAGTCTTACAAGAGCCTGCATGATCTCACTTCAGTCTAACTCTCCAAAATCCCATCCCCTATCATTCTCCCCTCTACTCATTATGTTCCAGCCAATTGGCTTGCTTTCTGTCCTCAAGCCTGCCAAATTCTTTTCCACTTGCAGGCTTTTGCTCTGGTCATTTCTGTTCCTGGAATGCTTCCTTGGCTCTTCACACATAGGGCTATTTGTCATCTTTTAGGTCTGAGGCCAGATGTCACTTCCTTAGAGAGGCCTCCAAAACATTTTCCAAAGAGGGCTTCCTCTGTTACTTTTCTAATTACCCTGTGTATTTCCTTCGTAGTAATGATCGTGATTTGCAATTACTTTATTTTACCTGTCTTGTCTGTTGTCTTCTCTGTTACTAATACATAAGCTCCCTGATAAACTGATATGATGAAACATTTGGAAAACTTAAGGATGTATTAAAAGTAAATTTTGTAGGATTTTTAAGAAGCAGCAATTAAAAATTACCAGTGAAGCATAACAATTATACAGAAAGGAAACAAAATCATCGTGCCCTATTACCATCTATTGTCAACGTGAAGTAAATATTGTTATTGATTTTAAAAAATATGGTGATAGACAGTAGTTCTATTGGAGTGGTAGGGGTGGATGTAGCATGTGAGTGCTAAATGCCCATAGTGGAAGTTGGCATTGTTGATCCAACCTCCATCTGTCTTTCTCCCATAGGATAGTGGCCACATGGTCCAGCTTTAGAGTTCAGCCTGATTCACTTAAATTGATTAGTATAATCCCATCCTGCTTGCCACTCTACTACATTTATGGATGGGCAGATCTAAGCCAATAAATTCATGGCATTCCCTAGGCCATAGGGCATAGTTAAGGAATGGGCATATAACCCAATTTGGAATAAAGAGTTGTGAGAGGTTTGTTTAGGAATTCAGAGAGGAGGCTTTTTTTTTTTTTTTTAAATGAAAGATGACAATGAGCTTCTTTTTTGCCTCTGGGTGTTGGGTGTGTTGTTGTGAAACCAGGAACTGTTACATTTCTTTTGCTTCCACGAGAGACGCAATCGATGTAAAGATGAAGACATCACACAGAAGAGAAGAGAACTGAGGGAACTACAGAGAAATGGAGCTAGAGCTGCTGGGTGAAGCTGACTCTGAGGCTTCTCATAAACTCTGTGCTTCCAGTTGTGAAAATAAATGCAGTTCTCATTTCTTCTTCTTCTTTTTTTTGTAAATTTTTCAAAATTTTATTTATTTAGAGACGGGAGTCTTCCTATATTGCCCAGGCTGTTTTTGAAAACCTGGGCTCAAGTGATCCTTCCCTCCCAAGTAGCTGGGACTACAGGCACATGCCCCTGTGCTCGGCTGTAGTTCTCATTTTTTAAACTAGGTGGGATTGTGATTACTACAAGTTGAGGCATCCTAACTGATAAAATCCTATTAATAAGAAGTCAAGAGATAAGGTCTAAAATATATAAATGAAGAAGTAGCTAGGAATATATATTATTTAGAAAAATGGAACTTGCTAGCAGAATAAACAGCTTTCAGTAGCTAAAAAGTGTTTGTCTCTTTAAAATAGAAAACAGAGATGGGGAGGAGAGATGAGGCACAGGCTATTTTTTTTTTAATTGTGAGCCTTTCAACACTTTGATTTGTTAATTGCATATTTTAATTGTTAAGTTTTTTAACCTGATGAAGCTTAGACTTTTAAATTGAGCCCATTTTAAAAATTGTATCTTAAATTGCTATTTTAATGCAAGCAATTTTAAATAAAAATATTTGGTGTTCCAGATATAGAGAATGGGTAATAGAGGAGTAGGGTACATGGAGTAGGCCTAGAAGGAAAGTCAGGATCTTAAAGGTTACGAAGTTTGAAGTTTTGGGGTTTTTTTAAGTGCCTAATGGCTAATATTTTTAATGTATGTACCATGCTAAAAGTACTGCAAAAGTGTTGAAAAACAACAAAAACACTGATAGATTTGTTAAGATAGATTTCTTAAAACAAATTGAACATTTTATACATAATTTATCAAAGCCCATTTTGGAGAGAGAAGAATATCAGTTTTTCTTTTTCTTAGGTTGATATTGGCAGTATGTTTTCCCAAAGTAATATTATAGCCCTATGTTCCACTTGTAAAATACTCAACTGTTTCTATGTGTAACAAATTTATTACTTCCCAATAGATTTTCACAGTGTTCTCATATTCACTGCATAAAATTCCAGATAGGTATTTGATACTTAACTTCTTTCTCTTACTACAGATCCACTTTGCATCTTATCTCACCCAAAATTCAGCTGGCATCTGACATGTATTTTAGTGGAATGTTTCAATATCTTTACAACCTCTTAATTTTTATACAGGATATATAGTTGGAGACGCATTGAGCAATTTGTTTTGCTACACAAAAATGTTCATGGGAGGGGAAAGTTGTGAAATCCAGCCTGGTGTCCATTCACCATATAGTCTGGAATTTGCTGCCAAGAAGAAAGGGCACATTTTGTAACTGACACAAAGTTTCTATATGTGTAAGTGGTGACCAAGGTTAGAGAGAGCAGTAAAAACAGCAATAGATCGTACAGTACATAATAAATTTTAGCTAAGATTTTTGAAGCACGCACTGAGTGTTAGGTAGTGAGATCACAGTGATGATGAATTCACTGGGCCAATGACGAGTGGGGTGACCATAGGCCAGTTTGCAGGGTACTACCCCAGTTTGCATCTGCTTTCCCATTGTTTTATCTCATTAGTGTCCCCTTTCTCACGTGTGTCACAGTTTGGACAGTAAGTTATCTAATCACCCAAAAAAAGGGAAAATTCATCCCAGACTGAGTGGAAGAGACATGGGTACGTGAAAAAGCATGATCTCCTCTGATTTGGCTTGAAAAAAAAGTTGGCAGCAGAAAATGGCACAAGGTAGAAATTAAGACTGAAAAGATGGTGAGGATCCGAGATGGTATAGGGCCTTATGCACTAGTTTTAAAGAGATTTCTCTTGAAGGCAATGGGGACTAATAGTGGTTTGGGGCAGGCATATGATAAAATCATATCTGTTTAGAGTTGAAAAGAGCAAAAATTTCACTATATTACCCTCTATCCCTTCCCACAAATCCCCCCGCAACACCCCCCACACAAAGCTGGGAGAAAGGGGAAAATCATATTCTTTCTGAGTGTAAATGCACTCATAACTGAGCCCCACTTAACTCCTTGGAATGAATGCCAGACCCTATGTATTCTATCTGTAAAACTGTTGTCATCGGCATGATGAATCTACGTGTTTGCAGATGGTAAGCTACTCTAATACAATATGCATTACTTTTCCTATAAGTTGAATTGTATGTTTTAAGAGATTATTGTGTCTGTTGGTAAGCCTGTTAATGCTAGTTGCACATTATTGCTATTATGTAATTGAAAAAATTATGGAAATTGATGAACTAAGAAGGCAACTGTTTCTATGAAAATTTTGTTGCATGCTTTTGAAAAACTGAAAGACAAGTGTCTTAGTTCAGGCTGATATAACAAATTACTGTAGATTGGATGGTCTATAAATGACAGAAATTTGTTTCACACAGTTCTGGTGGCTGGAAGTCTAAGATAGTGTTAACATATTCAGGTTCTGGTGAGTGCCCTCTTCTGGGCTGCAGACTGCCTACTTGTGGGACTCTCACATGGCAGACAGCAGAAAGAAGCAAGCCCTCTTGGGTACTAATCCCTCATGGGATTAGTGTCCCCTCAAGACCACACCTAATCCTAATTATCTACCAAAGGCCGCACTTGCTAATATTACATTAGGGGGTAGGATTGAGTTTTGGGAGGATGCACACATTCAGTCCATAGCAACAAGTTGCTAAAAATATTGGGATAATTGAGGTATGGATGGAACAACTCTAAAAAATAAATAAAATTAAAGGAGTGGGCAGCGTAACTGTCAAGAAGGTTATGTGCTCATTTTGCTATACCACATGCTGTGTACCTGTGGCCATACTATGCTCTACTAAAGATATAGTTCTGGCAGCTACAATCAGGGCTACTACTTGGACTAGCAGTAGCCTGTGGTCCTTGTCTAGGATTTATCTAGTTTTTGTGGGGGGCAGACAGGTGAATTAAATGAAAATATGATAGGGATCAGCATCAAGGCATCCTGGAAGTCTTTAAGAGTTGGCACTAATCTTCTCCATCCCCACCTGAAATGTGAGATACTGCTTTTGGTTTACTCTTTTGTCTGAAGTTTCCAAGACTCTACTTAGCTTTCCCCACTATAATAGGTCTTACTTCAGGATCTAAAACTCAATGTAGAAATTACTCTAACTGCCAAGCATGTCTATGCCTTCCTAACTATAATAGCTCTTAACTTCAGGACCTAAAACTCAATGTAGAGATTACTCTAACTGCCAGGCATGTCTATACCAAATATAACATTCAGGGACTGGGGACCATCAGCTGTTCCCATGGACCCAGGGTACACATCATAAGCCAGGATTTGGCCAAGACTAAAGTTTATTATTAGTTTGGTGCAAAAGTAATTGCAGTTTTTGACATTAAAAGTAAAAATGTCAAAAACTGCAATTACTTTTGCACAAACCTAATACCTGGCTCCTATATGCTGCTGCTCTAGTAAGGCCAAGATGATACTGTTGGTCTGCAGGTATTAATGTCAACTCAGACCCTGTGTCTGTCTTCTCTGAAGTATCTAAATATTCCCCACTTTCCAGTGTGCAGTCACCTGAGAAAAGGCCTAGATCCCTTTAGGAAAGGATGGGAAGAATCATTACAGTATATGATTATGGGTTCCTTCCCTCCAGGGATCTGGCCACCTGTCAACAGGTTCCCAGTCTGAAAATTGGCTCAGATCTGGCAATTGAGTGAGGGATCATGATGCTTTTTATTGTGATAACCACTCTTAGTCTCCCCATCCACTCTTGCTTTTTTTGATTATATATGTGAGGCGGTACTCTTGTTGCCTCCCCATCTGTTTTGCACATAGGGACACTGAACTCTGTTAGCCAACTCTAAAACTTGTTTTGGGTTGAACCCCCTTGACTGTCACTCTGATTTTGCTGGTCATGATAATTGTGACTCCCCCTGACTTCTGGCAATAAACCCTGCCCCCTGGCATTTAATGTGCTTCTGGGGCCCATCATTCCCATTCCTTTTGATAAGCCAAGTTCTGTGATAGTATCTTCTACCGTTACCTCTGACTATCAAAGGTGAACTGGCACTGAACTTTTTAGTGAGGCTAGTGCCTCTCTTACTAGTACATTCCTGATGGCCTTAGTGAATGGTGTGTCCTCCAGGCCCTCCCATGGAACATCATTCTTGTGTGGGCTGCTGGCCTCACATAATGTATCTACTCCAGCCTACCCATTTCCCTGACCCCTTTAAATCTTGTTCTTCACTGTCTGCCTTTAGCAGTTGAGGCATTTCGACTTCACTCAACATGGGCAATTGCTTCTAGTAACCATCCTAACCGGAAGTTTGCACCCTCCTCAGGGACCCCGATAGAGTATTAAATCTCATATCCTCAAATTGCCTCCAACTTAATGATGTCACTTTTTTCCAGTCTTATGTTTCAGCCTTCTTGATCAAACACCCTCAACATCCAGTCCCACATACTCCTCTATTTCCTACCAATATATTCTGACTAATTCTTGCAGCTTCTTTTGGGGGTATACATTAGGCCTAGCACATTCCCATTTGGGCCATGACTTAATCCTAGATACTGGTCTGACAGTCATGAGAGATAGGGTAGGTTTCCAAGAAGGCCCTCTGTTGCCTTATTCAGGAACTATCTACTTTTGAGTACTAGCTTTCAGTAAGAAAGGTAGGCAGCCTCTGCAGACTGAGTATTCAGAGGAGATTTGACAGCCAAAATGTTTGGGGGTATCCCCCTAGCTGTCCTCATCCTGTATGCCAGAGTCCCAAGTTTTCCAACTAACAACCTAACCTTGGCTTCAATTGTATTTTAATCTTCTTGACTGTTAAGTCCTGAGTTTGGTGTTCCAGCTTTTTTCTGTTTTCCCAGGACAAAAAGATAAGGGCCTCTTTGTAAGCTACTAAAGAAGCTGTCTGGCCTACACAGTAAGTTTTCACTTGTTTGTTAACAAGCTCTCAGATTTTCATTAACGTTTTGTAGGCCTTAATGTAATTTTATAATAGCTGGCCAATTCCATTGTTCTTGTAGATATTATCACACACACACACTGAATTTTTGCCCCAACAAGGGCATTGCTCTGCATCAGAACATTCTCCCAAGTCACTCCTGTAAGTTGTTTTTTTTTTTTTTTTGAGACGGAGTCTTGCTCTGTAGCCCAAGCTGGAATGCAGTGGCGTGATCCCAGCCCCCTGCAAGCTCTGCCTCCCGGGTTCACGCCATTCTCCTGCCTCAGCCTCCCGAGTAGCTGGGACTACAGGCGCCCGCCACAACGCCCGGCTAATTTTTTGTATTTTCAGTAGAGACAGGGTTTCACCATGTTAGCCAGGATGGTCTCGATCTCCTGACCTCATGATCCACCCGCCTCGGCCTCCCAAAGTGCTGAGATTACAGGTGTAACCCACCGCACCCGGCTACTCCTGTAAGTTTTAATGACTGAGCCACCACGTTCTTCCAGGAACTATCCATGCTCCAGCAATCACATATCCCATTAACAGTGGGACAGTTCTGATCTAACCCCAAGCCCCATCTATCCGTTTGTTTGAGTTTGTGGTATAATATGAAATAATTTGGTCTTTGTCTCCAGTTCCTGTCACAGAGCTAAAACCCTTGGAATTTCCTTGTTATTCATAATATCCCTCTCTTGATCACATCTGAGTTTATGCTAATGAGATAATTTAGGGTGGGGCCCCTAAATAGCCTCAGGATCAGGCCAGTTGCCAGAAAAACCAGGTGATTACAGGATGAGAGGATTGGAACTTTTAACTACACCCAACAACCTCCAGGAAAGGGAGTGGGGCTGGATGGATGTCAAGCTCTATAAAAACTCGGACAACATGATTTGATGAACTTCCGGGTTGCTGAAGATACAGAGATGTTGGGAGGCTAGCACACCCAGAGACAGCATGGCCGCTCTGTGCCTGCTTTCCTCCCCTTACCTCATCCTATCTATCTTCATCTGTCTGTTCATGTTTATCCTTTATAATATCCTTCATAATAAACCAGCAAATATAAGTTGTTTACCTGAGTTCGGTGAGCCAACCTAGCAAATTAATTAAATGCTGGAAGAAGGTTGTGGGAACCCTGATTTGTAGCAGGTCAGAGTATAGGTGACAACCTAATACTTAAATCTGAAGTGAAGGCAATCTTGTGGGGCTGAACCCTCAAACTGTGGGATCTGACATTATCTCCAGGTAAATTGCCAGGTGGATTACACTAGTCCAGGTAGATAGTGTCAGAATTGAATTCAATTATATAATACCCATTTGGTGTCCAGTGGAGAATTGCTTAGTTTTGGGAATAGCCCCCCACACATCTGTTCACAGAAGTGTTCTGTGTTTAGTGTGAGAGTGGGATTGTGGGAAACAGAATGTGTTTTTTTTTCTTTTTTTACAGGGTTGCTGTAACAAAATAACATAAACTGGTTGGCTAATAAATAACAAATTTATTTCTCACAGTTCCAGAGGCTGGAAAGTTCAAGATCAAAGAGCTGGCAAATTTAGTGTCTGGTGAGGGCTGACTTCGTAATAGATGGCGTCATCTCATGTGCCCTCACATAGCTGTTTTTTTTTTTTTTTTGAGATGGAGTTACGCTCTTGTTACCTAGGCTGGAGTGCAATGGCACAATCTCGGGTCACTGCAACCTCCGCCTCCCGGGTTCAAGTGATTCTCCTGCCTCAGCCTCCCGAGTAGCTGGGATTATAGGCATGTGCCACCATGCCCGGCTAATTTTGTATTTTTAGTAGAGACAGGGTTTCTCCATGTTGCTCAGGCTGGTCTTGAACTCCCAACCTCAGGTAATCAGCCCGCCTCAGCCTCCCAAAGTGCTGGGATTACGGGCGTGAACCACCATGCCCAGCAACCCTCACATAGTTTAAGGGACAAACTAGCTCTCTGAGGCACTAATGCCAATCATGAGGGCTAATTACTTCCCAAAGGCCCCACCCACCTCCTAATACTATCACCTTGGAGGTTAGTATTTGAACATATGAATATTGGAGAGACATAAACATTCAGACCACTAATCCTTATACCAACTGGTTCACTTTGGATGTTCCAGGAAGGAGAATATAACATTAACTCAGGAGTACAAGAATACTGGAAAAATGATGGGGAAAAAAAGACACAGACTGTGGTGTAGATCTAAAAATCAGGCTGGGTTGGATGGTTCATGCCTGTAATCCCAGTATTTTGGGAGGCCGAGGCAGGTGGATCACTTGAGGTCAGGAGTTCGATACCAGTCTGGCCAACATGGTGAAACCCTGTCTCTACTAAAAAATACAAAAATTAGCCAGGTGTGGTGGCTCATGCCTGTAATCCCAGCTACTCGGGAGTCTGAGGCATGAGAATCACCTGAGCCTGGGAGTCAGAGGTTGCAGTGAGCCGAGATTGTGCCACTGCATTTCAGTCTGGGCAACAGAGCGAGACTCTAAAACAAATAAATAAGTAAATATCTAGCAAAATCTCAGCTAACCCATTGTGGAACTCTGGGGAAAATATCGCTTGTTAGGGAAATTCAACATTGGACAGAAATGACTAGACCCTCATACCATTGCCATGTTCAGTCATTGGCTGAGGGCTGCCAGAGAAGACGTTGCCTCAACTGGTATGCTGTGGTAGATCTTGACAGTGCTGCAGATGGAGGCAGTTAGCTTAATGGTATTCATTGCAGCTGAATGGCAAGTTCTATCTAAAAGGGAGATGTTAGTGGTGTACCTCCTATGACTGCCCCACTGATCTAACCTGAGAAGGTTCAGGAGGTGCCTGCAACTAGTAGTCTAAGCATTTGATGAGGAAGGAGAGTAAGGCCAAAACAAGGCAGGTTGGTTGAAAGCTGATGACGGAGCAGTTATCCCATTAGATATCCCCAACTCTTGTCACTAGGCAAAGGCCAGTTGAAAACTGGTTTTATCAGTACACATCCACACCTATTCATTTACATATTGCCTATGGCTCCTTTTTATTTTTTCATTTACATATTATCTATACCTCCTTTTTTTATTTTTATTTTTTTCTTTCTGAGATAGGGTCTTGTTTTGTCACCCATGCTGGAGTGCGGTGGTGCCATCACGGCTCACTACACTCTTGACCTTCTGGGCTCAAACTATCCTCCTACCTCAGCTTCCCGAGTAGCTGGGACCACAGGCGCACGCCACCACTCCCGGCTAATTTTTGTATTTTTCTGTAGAGATGGGGTTTTGCCATGTTGCCCAGGATGGTCTTGAACTCCTGAGGTCAACCAATCCACCCACCTCGGCCTCCCAAATTGCTGGGATTAGAGGCATGAGCTACTGCACCCAGCCTGGCTCCTTTTTTTACTATGATGCAGTGTTGAGCAAATGCGAAAATATTTACTGCTTAGTCTTTTCCAGAAAAGCTTGCTGAAAAGTTTGCTGATTCTCAATCTATGCTATTGGGGTTATTTACATCTATGCATTGAGGTTATTTGTATCTATTGTATCTCCATGGTAGAATTACTATATAATGGTGTGCTGCTGCTTATCTCTTCCCAACTGCATTCAGAGGAATCATGTTGGTAGCTTGAAATTGGCTGTAATGGGGGAATTTTACCACAGAAGTTAGCAAATGCTACAATTCGGGACTTTTTCTTTTTGGACAGCTGATTGTTAAACATTGACCTGCAGCATTTTTCGCTACAGGGTATTACAGGCTGAATTGTTTCCCCTCTCCAGAGGTATATGTTGAAGTGCCTACCCACAGTACCCCAGAAGGTGGGTCTTTAAAAAGGCATTTAAGGCTAGGCACGGTGGCTCATGCCTGTATTCCCAGTACTTTGGGAGTCCGAAGCAGGCGAATCACCTGAGGCAAGGAGTTTGAGAGTAGCCTGGCCAATGTGGTGAAACCCCATCTCTACTAAAAATACAAAAATTAGCTGTGTGTGGTGGCATGCGCCTGTAATCTCAGCTACTTGGGAGGCTGAGGTGGGAGGATCACTTGAACCTAGGAGGCAGAGGTTGCAGTGAGCTGAGATCACGCCACTGCACTCCAGCCTGGGTGACAAAGCGAGACTCTGTCTCAAAAAAATAAAAATTAAAAAGTCATTTAAGTTAAAATGAGGTCATTAGGGTGGGCTCTAATCCAGTATGACTGGTGTCTTTATAAGAAGAGGAAATTTTTACAAACAGGTATTGGGGAAGACCATGTGGTAACACAAGAAGACAGTCATCTACAAGCCAAGACAGAGGCCTCAGAAGAGAACAACCCTACTGATACCTTGATCTCAGACTTCTAGCCTCCAGAACTATGAGAAAATAATTTCTGTCATCTCACCTGCCTATTCTGTGGTACTTTGCTATTGTAGCCTTAGACTGATAGAGTAAGTGACCTGAGAAAGTGTCAAAAGTTCCTGCAGAAGAAATCGATTGAAATTACTTCCAAAGAGCTTTGGTATAGGGCCAGGAATAGTGGCTCATGCCTATAATTTCAGCACTTTGGGAGGCTGCGATGGGAGGATCACTTAATGCCAGAAGTTCAAGACCAGCCTGGGCAACATAGTAAGACCCTGTCTCTAATGTCAATTTAAAAAACAAATACACACAACAACAACAACAACAACAAACAAAAAATGGCTTTGAATATTTACTGCATGGTCTTTTCCAGAAAAATTTGCACCTCACAGAAGTTTGCTAATTTCTGTGGTAAAAATTCCCCCACTACAGCCAGTTTCAGGCTACCAACATGATTTCTCTGGATGCAGTTGAGGATAAGCAGCAGCACACCATTATGTAGTAATCCCACCACAGGGATACAGTAGATACAATGCACAGATGTAAATAACCCCAAGAGCATAGATCAAGAGTCAGCAAATATACCTGATTCTTTTTACCCCAACTGCATTTTGATGACATTTAATAAATTTGTTGAGCACTCTAGGTACCATGCAAGCCTTTTGGACTCTGTAAAGACCAGTTCCCCTAGGCAATAATCTTCAAGACTCTAGAATTAGGGTTATATAAAGGCAGTACAGCTTTGTTCCCTCCCACCTGTACCCTGCCTTTTGTTGGCCTCATTCCTAAGGTAAAGTGATAGCTAGGTAAAAAGCAGAAGATACATACAGCTAATGACAGTCTAAGGGAGAATTTCAGGAAGGATCCAGTAGGCCAGGTGAGTGACACCTGAGCTACTTTGTGTTTAAGATATACTCATGTAGAAAGCCCTTGAGAGCTGGGTGCAGTGGCTCACGTGTGTAATCACAGCACTTTGGAAGGCTGAGACAGGCGGATCACCTGAGGTCAGGAGTTCGAGACCAGCCTGGCCAACATCGTGAAACCCCGTCTCTACAACAAATACAAAAATTAGCTGGGTATGGTGGCAGGTGCTTGTAATCCCCGCTACTCCAGAGGCTGAGGTAGGAGAATCATTTGAACTTGGGAGGAGGCAGAGGTTGCAGTGAGCGGAGATTGCGCCATTGCACTCCAGCCTGGGCAACAGAGCGAGACTCCATCTCAAGAAAAAAAAAAAGCCCTTGAGAGAAAGGGGCAAGTAATATGAATGTACCACTCCCTAGGTAGTATAATCTTTGGCCTTAAAAGTTCTCTGTGACTTGACCTAGGGTGTTTTTAACATGGAAAAGAGCAAACTTATTGGGAAACTAAATAGTCCCAAGACTTCAGGAGAATAAAATAATCCCAGTGACCTTTTATGCTGTTGTGGTGTGAATATCGCACCCCGAATTAATATTTGAAATTTATTAGCCAATGTGGTAATATAAAATGTGGGGCTGTTCGAAGGTGATTAAGGCCATAAAAGGGGTTACGGAAGTGGATTTTCTCTCTCCCACTCTTTTGCCATGCAAGGACACAGCATCCATTCCCTTTTTTACCTTTCTGCCTTCTGCCATGTGAGAAGGCCCTCACCAGACATCAAATGCCAGTGCCTTGATCTCAGACTTTCCAGCCTTCAGAACTGTGAGGAATAAATTTCTATTTTGTATAAATTACCCAGTCTGTGTTATTTTGTTACAGCAACACAAATGGACTAAGACATATACCATTAGCACTTTTGGAACATGATTTACTTTACTGGCACGGTACATATATAAAATAAACTCTTTTATCCTTTTGAAAATCAATAAATATGCATTGAATGCCTATGTGTTTATGTAGGTGTACACAGGCTATAATAGGAGAGCTCTAAGATATTTAAACATTTATTCTCACATCATTAGTTACTTGATAGAGAGTATAAAGGGCAGAAAGACTTGAAGTAGTGGGAGCATAGCCACTGCTGATTAAAGACAAAAAATAAGAAAGTAGACAATTATTTGTCAGTTAAAAGTAAAATAAAATTTTAAAAAATTAAGAAAATATATATGTGAAGTTCTATGTCCTTAAAAGGTCAGCTTACATGTAACTTTTCTGGAACAAATATATTTACTGAAGTTATATATATATATTTATATATATAAATATTTACTGAATTATATATATATTTACTGAACATATATATTTACTGAACAAATATATTTACTGAAGTAATATAATATATATATTATATTATATATATAAAGGTATACTTTAATTTAGCACTACTGATATATGAAATTCCACATTTATAAAGTATACAAACTGTATTAGGGTTCTCTAGAGAGACAGAACTAATAGGATATATATATGGGAATTTATTAAGTATTAACTCACATGATCACAAGGTCCCACAATAGGCCATCTGCAGGCTGAGGATCAAGGAGATGCAGTCCGAGTCCCAAAACTGAAGAACGTGGAGTCCCATGTTCGAGGGCAGGAAAGATCCAGCATGGGAGAAAGATGTAGGCTGGGAGGGTAGCCAGTCTCGTCTTTTCACATTTTTCTTTCTGCTTTTTTATTCTAGTCCCACTGGCAGCCGATTAGATGGTGCCCACCCAGATTAAGAATGGGTCTGCCTTTCCCAGCCCCGGGACTCAAATGTTAATCTCCTTTGGCAACACCCTCACAGACACACACAGGATCAATACTTTGTATCCTTCAACCCAATCAAGTTGACACTCAGTATTAACTATCACACAAACTGAAGTGGATCATTTGGCTTTCCAAATGGTTATGCTGTGAGATTAATCATGTATTTCACAAATTGAACACCAGTAATATTCAAAAATATTTTGCAACCAAACACACTTTATGACATCATTAAATGATTCTTTAATTTCACAAAGAAAACACAAATTCAGCACCCCCAAAATGAAAATTATGTATACAATAAAGCATAATGTAAATGTTATATAATGATATGACATATAACTTTATTAATACTGAGTTACACCATGTTGTGTAGTGAGTACTAGAATATGTATTTGAATACAATACTTAGCTAAGCATCTTTATTTCTTGACATACTTTGACTTTAGACATTTTATTTTATTATATTTTTTTTAAGACACAGGACCTCACTCTGTCCCCCAGGCTGGAGTGCAGTGGTATGATCATAGCTTACTGCAGCCTTGAACTCCTGGGCTCAAGCAATCTTTCTGCCTTGGCCTCCCAAAGGGATTACAGGCTGAACCACCGCATGTGGTGTATTTTATTTTTTTAAATATATTTTTCTAGCCCCTTTCGCAGTAACCGGGACCTACCCTTAGGTGAGGCACAGATGGACACGCAGAGTCAACACACTAGTGGTCCCAAGCTGGGTCGGAAAACCTGTGTGATCACAGGGAGACCCTTTGAGAAGTCCCCCTTCAACCAAGAGCTAAAACTGATAGGCAAGTATGGCCTCCAGAGCAAACGTGACATCTGAAGGGTTAAATTTACCCTGGACAAGATCTGCAGGGCTGCCCAGGAGCTGCTGATGCTTGTTGAGAAGGACCCATGGCATCTGTTTGAAGGCAGTGCCCTGCTGTGGTGACTTATTCACATCAGAGTGCGGTACAGGGGCAGAATGAAACTAGATTGCATCCTAGGCCTGAAGATTGAGGCTTTCTTGCAGAGATGACTGCAGACCCAGCTCTTCAAGCCAGGAGTGACCAAGTCCAGTCATCATGCCCCTGTGCTGATCCACTAGCACCATATCTAGGTCTGCAGGTGGTGAACATCCTGTCTGTCCTTCATTGACTGCCTGGACTCCCAGAAGCACGGCAATTTCTCTCTTTGTTCTTTGTTTGGCAGTGGTCGCCTGGGCCTCCTGAAGAGAAGAATTCCAAGAAGGGCCAGGGTGGGGCTGGAGTGCCCCTGGAGATAACCAAGAGGAGGGTTAAGCACACCCATCCCCTCCTGGGGTGGTGGATTGTCTAGTTTTCCAGTCAGATAATGGGATCAACACTTTGAAAACAAGGATTCTAGGGATGATGCTTCTCTATTTTCCATTGATATTATGGAAAAATGTTTTTGAATGTACATACTTTTATATTCCATTAATAAGTACAATCATCTACCCAAATCATTTTTTTCCTGCAATTTCAGTAACTGAATTTGAGGTAAGTAAAAATGCTTTGTTTTCTTTCAAACATGCACAATCTACTTTCAAAAATTCTGCAAGCATGAAAAAGAGGAGCACTTTTTTTTTATAATTATAAATATAATTTTTTTTATTATACTTTAAGTTTTAGGGTACATGTGCACAATGTGCAGGTTAGTTACATATGTATACATGTGCCATGTTGGTGTGCTGCACCCATTAACTCGTCATTTAACATTAGGTATATCTCCTAATGCTATCTCTCCCCCCTCCCCCCCACCCCACAACAGGCCCCGGTGTGTGATGTTCCCCTTCCTGTGTCCACGTGTTCTCATTGTTCAATTCCCACCTATGAGTGAGAACATGTGGTGTTTGGTTTTTTTGTCCTTGCAATAGTTTGCTGAGAATGATGGTTTCCAGCTTCATCCATGTCCCTACAAAGGACATGAACTCATCATTTTTTATGGCTGCATAGTATTCCATGGTGTGTATGTGCCACATTTTCTTAATCCAGTCTATCATTGTTGGACATTTGGCTTGGTTCCAAGTCTTTGCTATTGTGAATAGTGCTGCAATAAACATACATGTGCATGTGTCTTTATAGCAGCATGATTTATAATCCTTTGGGTATATACCCAGTAATGGGATTGCTGGGTCAAATGGTATTTCTAGTTCTAGATCCCTGAGGAATCGCCACACTGACTTCCATAATGGTTGAATTAGTTTACAGTCCCACCAACAGTGTAAAAGTGTTCCTATTTCTCCACATCCTCTCCAGCACCTGTTGTTTCCTGACTTTTGAATGATCGCCATTCTAACTGGTGGGAGATGGTATCTCATTGTGGTTTTGATTTGCATTTCTCTGATGGCCAGTGATGATGAGCATTTTTTCATGTGTCTTTTGGCTGCATAAATGTCTTCTTTTGAGAAGTGTCTGTTCATGTCCTTCGCCCACTTTTTGATGGGGTTGTTTGTTTTTTTCTTGTAAATTTGTTTGAGTTCATTGTAGATTCTGGATGTTAGCCCTTTGTCAGATAAGTAGATGGCAAAAATTTTCTCCCATTCTGTAGGTTGCCTGTTCACTCTGATGGTAGTTTCTTTTGCTGTGCCGAACTCTTGAGTTTAATTAGATCCCATTTGTCAATTTTGGCTTTTGTTGCCATTGCTTTTGGTGTTTTAGACATGAAGTCCTTGCCCATGCCTATGTCCTGAATGGTAATGTCTAGGTTTTCTTCTAGGGTTTTTATGGTTTTAGGTCTAACATTTAAGTCTTTAATCCATCTTGAATTAATTTTTGTATAAGGTGTAAGGAAGGGATCCAGTTTCAGCTTTCTACATATGGCTAGCCAGTTTTCCCAGCACCATTTATTAAATAGGGAATCCTTTCCCCATTTCTTGTTTTTGTCAGGTTTGTCAAAGATCAGATGGTTGTAGATATGCGACATTATTTCTGAGGGCTCTGTTCTGTTCCATTGGTCTGTATCTCTGTTTTGGTACCAGTACCATGCTGTTTTGGTTACTGTAGCCTTGTAGTACAGTTTGAAGTCAGGTAGCATGATGTCTCCAGCTTTGTTCTTTAGGCTTAGGATTGACTTGGCAATGCGGGCTCTTTTTTGGTTCCATATGAACTTTAAAGTAGTTTTTTCCAATTCTGTGAAGAAAGTCATTGGTAGCTTGATGGGGGTGGCATTGAATCTATAAATTACCTTGGGCAGTATGGCCATTTTCATGATATTGATTCACTTCTAAAACATATACCATTTACTAAGAAATCTGTTAAATGTTCAGGTGGTTTTGCACAGTTTTCTAGGCAGAATATTTAAACCATATGTTCAGTAATAGGCACATTTCTCCTTTGGACAATATGGAATCACTTTCCATAAAGTATTTTCAAAAAATATTCATGTATTTTTTAGCAATGGAACTATTTTTAAAACAAAAATTTGCTTAGAATCTTAGGAAGTCAAAGAGGTAAACATAGCAATGCTAGAGTTGAAGCTTGGTTGGGATGCAGAGGCTCTTCCACTCAGCCATCCATCCATTATCCTAGAAGCCCTGTAGGATTCACCAAGAATCCTGGGTCCTTCAGAAATCGAGTTTAGGAACTGGTATAAGGAACAAGCACCAGGTAAGAATCTGAAAGCTTTGTTCTGAGTTTGAGACTTGCAGCTGGTCATTAACTTTCTCTGGTTTTTGGTTCCGTGATTGGTATAGTGGAGGTATAAGATGTAGATGATCTCTGAGGTATCCTCCAGCTCTAAAACTTTATGATTTCAAGTGCTACTGTTGATAAATTACTCCACATCTGTCCAATCAATGCCAGAGATTTAATCTAAGTTCATGAGCAAGCCAGGCTGTGCCAAAGAGGAAATAGTTCTTGACTCTGTATTTGGCATTGTTTTTAACACTAGAAGCAAATTTCATTTTTCATATTGGCTACGTTCATCCCTGATCATGAACCAATAATTATTTCAACATTGCCTAGTTTATCTGACACAAATAAGGAATGTTCATGTTGTTACATATTTGAAAACTCTGACTTCTAGTTCATGAATATCAAGTTGAATAGAAACTTGGCACATAGTAGGCATTCAATAAATAGTTGTTCCTTATGACTATGCTAAAAACCACTGAATTGTATACTTTAAAAGAGTGTATTTTATGGTACGTGAATTGTATCTGTTTTTTTAAGTTGTTAAGTGAATGAATTAAATAGTTATATTTCTGGATGTAGACGTAAGGGAATTTGTTGCAGTTTTAAAATCCTAATTTCTGGTGCTCAGAATAAAACAACAGCAACAACGAAAACCAAATTAAAAAAAAATTAAAAAAGAACAAAAGAAGCTGCCACTTGTTGTCAGGAGACATTAAGGATATTGGGGCTGGACACAGTGGCTCACACCTGTAATCCCAGCACTTTGGGAGGCCAAGGTGGGAAGATTGCTTGAGCCCAGGAGTTCAAGATGAGCCTGGGCAATAGAGTGACACTCTGTTTATATAAAAAGAAACAAGGTCTCACTTTGTCACCCAGGCCGGAGAGCAGTGGTGCAAACACAGCTCACTGCAGCCTTGACCTCCCAGGCTCAAGGGATCCTCCTGCCTCAGTTACCCAAGTAGCTGGGACTACAGGCCCATACTACCACACCCAGCTAAATTTTGTATTTTTTGTAGAGATGGGTATTTGTCATGTTGCCCAGGCTGGTCTTGAACCCCTGGGCTCAAGAAATCTGCCCATCTCAGCCTCCCAAAGTGCGAGGATTACAGGCATGAGCCACTGCACCTGGCCACATTCCTAAAGTTTTTAAGATTTTGGCAAGCATGTTACATAATAGAATTTTCCTTGCTGCGTTTTCAGAGGCAAAATAGTGACTAGATCAACTTCACTCATAAATTTCTATGGCATTTTATAATGTTTTTATGGGTCGGGCGTGGTGGCTCACGCCTGTAATACCAGCACTCTGGGAGGCCAAGGCGGATGAATCACCTGAGGTCAGGAGTCGAGACCAGCCTGGCCAACATGGTAAAAACCCATATCTACTAAAAAATACAAAAAACTAGCCGGGCGTGATGGCGGGCGCCTGTAATCCCAGCTACTTGGGAGGCTGAGGCAGGAGAATCACTTGAACCCGGGAGGCAGAGGTTTCGGTGAGCCGAGATTGCGCCATTGCACTCCAGCCTGGGCAACAAGAGCAAAACTCCGTCTCAAAAAAAAAAAAATGTTTTTATGCTTTGTAAGTATTACATTCAATGCCATGAATTCACGATGCCTAATATGTTGCCTATTATTCCCTTGGGTCAATTTCTTAATGCGGTGAGAGCCATGGGCTTACACATTAACTGTAAACATTTACAATGTTTGGAATCGGCTTGCACCTGTAATCTCAGATACTGGGAGGCTGAGGCAGGAGGCTTGCTTGAACCCAAGAGTTCTAGGCCAGCCTTAGCAACATACCAAGACCCTGCCTCTATAAAAAAAAAAGTATCAATTAGTCAGGTGGGTGGCAGCACGTGCACGTATTCCAAGGCGCTTGGGAGGCTGAGGCAGGAGGATCATTTGGGCCTAGGAGTTCAAGCCTGCAGTAACCTATAATCATGCCACTGCACTCCAGCCCGGGTAAGAGTGAAACCCTCATCTCTCTAAAAAAAGAAATTACAATGTTCAATCAAATGTACATAAACATAGTATTTTTATATACTTCCTTCTTTCTGAGTAAATGAATATTTGTTGGGGGAGAGCTTATAAATTAGTTTAAAATAAAAACTCTTTATATTTGGTTTATTTCTTATCTTTACTATATTATTAATAAGAGGGCAGCCATAGACTATTTTTAAGAATTCTATAGCCTACATATATTTCAGAGGCAAAAGTCCTTTAATTCTGCTTTAAAAACACTTAGTTCAGTAACACATGGTACATACTTTTTTTTTTTTTTTTTTTTTTTTGAGACAGAGTCTCACTCTGTCACCCAGGCTGGAGTGAAGTGGCACAATTTCGGCTCACCACAACCTCTGCCTCCCTGGTTCAAGCAGTTCTCATGCCTCAGCCTCCCAAGTAGCTGGGACTACAGGCTCATGCCACCATGCCCGCCTGATTTTTATATTTTTAGTAGAGACAGGGTTTCGCCATGTTGGCCAGGCTGGTCTCGAACTCCTGACCTCAGTTGATCTGCCTGTCTTGGCCTCCCAAACTGTTGGGATTACAGGCATGAGCCACTGCACCCAGCCAGTACATACTATTTAAACTCTGCTGACACATCATTTATACCTCTGATATAACCCTTAGAACGTGGAGGGTCCTAAGTAACTGTCTAACCGTCTCATTTTATAGATAAGAAAAGTAAAGCCTGAAAAGCTTACATGACATGTCCAACACTACCTAGCCACTTGATGGCAGAGTTTATGCTTCAGAATTACCTAGAAATTCAAAAGATAATTCAAAAATCATTTACATTATCAAATTCCCAAACAAACCTGATGACTTTTCCTGCTCCTATATCCTAATTCTCATTTGCTGTTTTTCTCCTCTTGATATGTTAATATTTGCATACATCTTAATTATTTACAGAGTATTTGAGATAACCCAGCAGCATATTGCATAAAACTCTTAGGTTTGCTTTGTACTATAGTAATACGTTTAGGTGATTGATTGATTGATTGATTGATTGATTTTATTTTTTGAGACGGACTTTCACTCTTGTTGCCCATGCTGGTGTGCAGTGGCGTGATCTTAGCTCATTGCAACCTCCGCCTCCCAGGTTCAAGCCATTCTCTTGTCTCAGCCGCCCAAGTAGCTGGGATTACAAGCATGTGCCACTATGCCTGGCTAATTTTTGTATTTTTAGAAGAGACAGGGTTTCACCATGTTGGTCATGCTGGTCTCAAACTCCTGACCTCGGGTGATCCATCCGCCTCAGCCTCTGAAAGTTCTGGGATTACAGGTATGAGCCACCATGCCCGGCCAAGTTTGGACGATTTCTAAAAGTCATTATTTACAGCACGTTATAATGACATCTATACGTCTGTTAAAAATTATTCTTTATATAGGCTTTGAACATTTCTGACAAAAACTGTATTTGTGTTTGTTCTCAATATTGTAGTACTCACTTTAATGCTATAACCTGAGGAAACTGAAGATCAGAAGCATGAGGAGAGACATTTTTATGTACTTGTTTCTCTTAGTTAAAAGATGAGTTCCCTCAACCTTGGTTTTCCCACGCAGGTTTGTCTCTGCCTCAGAGATGAATTGAAGAATTATTCTCACCAGCAGCAGGTGTAGTTAGTCAGTTTACCAACATATTTGTTATATCACGAGAATACTTTGGTCGTCAGTAATCATTTTTTATGATCCACTTACTGACCAACCAGAGATTCACTAAATACACACACATGCACACACACACACACACACACACACTTGCAAAGCTACAAATCAGGTTCTATGGTGGATGATGAGGTATGACCCCCACCGCACCCCCCAATTCTAGCCCCTTAAGGACTAAGACACTTAGCGCCCGTTTGCCCAGAGTGTTGGCTGCTGACTGCTGGCAGCTACATTCTTCTTGTGAAATTGTTCTTTACATAAAGAAGCTGCTTCACCTAAGTTTACACCCCCACTATCAATGTGGGAATACAAAGGCCTGGACCCTTGGCTTTAATTTAGAACTTCTCTGAAGGGGCTTCAGAGCTCCCGTGGGTCAACTGAGGCCTCTGTTGTAACTTCATCACAGTTCAATTTCTCCCTCTCTAATCCTACTTCCTTACCTCTCACAGATCATGTTCCTGAGAGAAACCCTCCTTTCCACAACAAACCTCCTACATGCGCACCTCAGAATCTCAGTCTATTTCCTGGGATCCCAACTTGCAGCTGCTTACAAATATGTGTGTGTGGAAATGGAAGGAGAAAAAAGAAGAAGTTTGAATGAGTTGATTAATTTTGCCTATCACATGTGGCATAATCATGGGAGAAAGGCCAGGAAAACAAGGCTTGGATATTAAATTCATTTTCTTATATAATACTACTGGTTCTATTTTTTCTATAGTCCTTACATTGGATTATCATTTAATTACCTCTGAATGTTAGACTACCTCATCCTTCCATTCTTTACCCACTTTTCTCTCTATAATTGCATAAAGAGGCCAGATGTGGTGGTGTACATCTGTAATCCCAGCGCTTTGGGAGGCTGACATGGGAGGATCAGTTGAGGCCAGGAGTCTGAGACAAGCCTGGGCAATATAGCGAGATCCAGTCTCTTAAAAAAAAATTATAAACCATCTTTTCTATTCAGGTAAGTCCTATGAATTTAATTAGCACCTATACACACGTGGATTCCTAAATCTTTAGCTCCAATTCTAACCATTTTCTGAGGTTTAGATAAGAATTTTCTAAGCCTATTTGACCTCTCAACTTGAATTTTTGACAGACACTTCAAATTTATTGTGTCCAAAACTAAACTCATTACCATCTAAACCACTTCCCCATATAGTCTCTATGTTTTAATACAGTCACTATCTGCCCAGTTCCCCTAAAGTAAATGATCTAACCATTGTTAATCTTCCCATATGTTATACTGATTGATCACCAAATCTTGAAAATTCTAATCAGAAATGTAAAATCTATTTTTTCTACTGCTTTACTTAAGTCTTGTCATTTTATTTTCTTTTTTGGTCTGAAAGGCTACCTAGATATTCAATTTTAGTTCTTTAACCATCCTCCCAGTTTTTTGGTGTAACTCACCACATACCACCTACCTTTACAGTCTGTAAAAGAAACTGTATCCAGCGGTATTTGTGAAAACCAATTTGGGCCCCACTTCCCTGTTTCTGATCCATTACATATCCTGAGTTCTTATTCTGTCTCTTTTACTTCGAATTGGCATTTATGTGTGTGTTTGGGCTCTTGTATCCATCCTATCTATCCTGTAGGATACAGACTTGGCTGGCTGTACTCTGGACCCCTGCAGGTGATGTTATCATTCTCATACTCTGAGCTGAAGCCTCTGGGTACTAAGGATGTAGCAGTCAACAAAAATTACTATTCTCATAGAGTTTACATTCTAGTGGGAAAAGTGCATCTGTTGAAGCTCAGAGATGAGGGAGGGGAATAACCACAATATTTACACTTTCTCACCTGGCTGACCTAGTTTGTTAAAGAGGGAGAGAGACTGTTTGTCCAGTAGATTGTACCAGCATCTCCTCCCATAGTTGTCCAAGGGTTCTGTAAGCCATTGCTACTTCACCCTCTTCAAACATATCTTGGGATCAATTGTAAAAAACAAAAACAAAAACAGCCTTCCTTGCTTAAGCAACTGCAAATTCATATGAAAGCCTGAGACTCATAATTGATATGTATAGTAGGGTGATATTTTACGATATTATAAGGATACAATGTAATCTTCACAGCTTTCCTTTTCCTTGGTTTGAGGCTTATTACACAAAAGGAGCCAGAGGATTATTACACAAAGGAAGCTACACCAGAAAGGATGCTGATTAGCTTTGAGACTCAAAGCTGACTTTCCTGACCTCTCTAAGAAGAGAATTATCTTGCAAACCTGGAGAATGAAAGGGTTTCCCAAACTCCTTTTGCTGGCATTAACACATCAAAGGCTAGGCCTGATAGCTATTAGGCTCTCACATCACCACTGCCCACAATAGGAAACATCATATTGTGACCCAGTTCACATGTACCTAGACCGAATATTATACGTACATGTGAACTGGATCATAATATACATACACACACACATATGCATTATCACTGAAACAAAAATTTAACATGCATTTTGATATATTCTATCCACTACAATTTTATTTCTTTTTAATACACTATTCACAGCACACTGAACTGTGATGTGCATTAAAAAAATACCACCTAGGATTTTTCAAAAGGGAGAATTCAGTGAGACAGAAAAAGAAGTTAATTCTGCTTCTGCTGGGGGGAGGGTTGGGGATGGGCAGGGGTGGGGGCCGTGCTTAGGGAAAGGATCTGAAGAATCAGAATGTTCAAATTCTTGGTGTTGGGTAGGTTTTGATCAGAGGGAAAATATCTTACAGTGAAGAATAGAATTATTTGATGTCGCTTATTAAAAGCTGAAAGTTTGAAGTCACTGCATTCAGGGGGAACTGTAAGGTCACCAAGACATAGTAAAAAAATAGATAAGGATGAGGCAACTGCAGAATGTTTACATTCTTACAGGGATAAGCACAGGATAAGCTAAAACCACAGCTGGTGTTTGACCAAAGAAGAACTGGCTATAACTGACATTGCTCTGTGTGGGTCCCTCCTGATGACCTGGGCAGTGAAATTCCTCCTTATGATAATGATATTATAAAAAGAAAGAAGTAAGAAAATGAAGTAATTGGTAACCAGTGGTGGAGCAACCTGTGGTCTAGTTACTGTCACCTTGAGGGAAAGAGTGGGGAGCACTTGTGTTTGTGGTGGGTTGGGTGGTGGTGGCTGCAGGTGGAAAGTTGTGCAAGAAAGATGAGACCATGAAAATGATAAACATGAGGTAGGCATAAAAGTGTACAGACTTGTAGGCCGGGCGCACTGGCTCACGCCTGTAATCCCAGCACTTTGGGAGGCCAAGGCGGGTGGATCACCTGGTCGGGAGTTCGAGACCAACCTGACCAACATGGTGAAACCCTGTCTCTACTAAAAATACAAAAAATTAGCCTGGTGTGGTGGCGCATGCCTGTAATCCCAGCTACTCGGGAGGCTGAGGCAGGAGACTCACTTGAACCCAGGAGGTGGAGGTTGTGGTGAGCTGAGATGGCGCCATTGCACTCCAGCCTGGGCAACAAGAGTGAAAACTCCATCTCAAAAAAAAAATGTACAGACTTGCATACTTAGAGAAAATGCCTAGGTGCTGTAGACATGTTATAATTAACCGACAAGGTTGTTGTGTTCAATAAAGATAATAGAATTTTGTGTCTCCACATTGTCTCATCAGTTTCCCCCATCCTACCTTTGAAGCAACAAGTAGATTAAGCTGAGGTTTTTCCAGGCTGGGTTAAATTTAGATTTTTTTCTTCCTTGCCTCCCAAAAGGGGAGGAACTAAAAAGGAAGATGAGATTGTTGACTGCTATATCCTTAGTACCCAGAGGGGACTAAGAGGTTATAGTAAATGAAAAGACCTCATTGTCATTGTACATTCAAGTTTAGTGAGTAAATGTGTGACCCCATCCATATGGTCTTTGCTGAAATGTCACCTTTCAGCAGGCCTTCCCTAACCACACTATAATTTACCCCAAGCACTCCTGTTTCTCCTGTTCTGCTTTACACTTCTACATAGCATTTATCACAAACAACAGTGTGTATGTATGAATAATATAATGAATCTCATATGTTCCCATCACCAAGCTTCAATAATTATTAATATTTTACCCATCATTTAATCTATACCCTCATCATTTTGTTTTGCTTTGTTTGGGCTTTTTTCTGAAATGTTTTAAAGTGAATACCAGACATGACATTTCCCTTCATACTGTTTTACTTATTTAATGTCTGTCTTCTCCTACTAGAATATGTGCTCAACAAGGGCAGGAATTTTTATCTACTGTTCACAGAAACAGTCCCAGCATCTTTTTTTCTTTTTCTTTTTAAATTCATTCAAGTTTGAGAAGTTATTCTTATTCCGAGCATCTTTTTTTTTTGTTTTTTTTTTGTTTTTTTTTTAAGACAAAGACTCACTCTGTTACTCAGGCTAGATTGCAGTAGCATGATCACAGCTCACTGCAGCCTCAGCCTTCCCAGGCTCATGTGATCCTCACACTTCAGCCCCCTCAGAAGCTGAAATTGCAACTGCACGCCACCACACCCAGCTAATTTTGTATTTTTTGTAGAGATGGGATTTCGCATGTTGCCCAAGCTGGTCTCGAGCTCCTGGGTTCAAGCAATCTGCCCACCTCAGCCTCACAAAGTGCTGGGATTATAGGCATGAGCCATCACTCCAGCCCCAGCACCTTAAAAAGGTTCCTGGCACATAATAAGTACACAGTAAATATTTTTGAGTGCATAAATATGGAATCCAAAAAGTAACATTTTCAGTCTCTTGCTAGTTAGGCATTATCTCAGTCAGTTCAGGGTGCTATAATGGAATATCATAGATTGGGTGGCTTAAACAACAGAATAGTTTGTTTTTAGTGTATAGAAATGCAACTAATTTTTCATATGTTGGTTTTGTATCCTGCAACTCTCTGGATTTATTAGTTCGAAGAGTTTTTTTATGGCATTTTTAAAGGATTTTCTATACATAAGATGTTGCTCACAAAGAGGGACAACTTTACTTCTTCCTTTTCGATGTGGATATTTCTTATTTCTTTTTCTTGCCACGTTGCTCTGGCTAGGACTTCTAGTACTTTGTTGAATTGAAGTGGTGAAAGTGGGCATATTTGCCTTGTTCCTGATCTTAGAGAAAAAGCTTTCAGTTTTCCACTGATGAATATGATGTTAGCTGTTGGCTTTTCATATATATACTTTATTATGTTGAGGTACTTCACTTCTCTTCCCTTTTTAAAATTTTTTAAAAATCCCAAATTGTAGTAGAGAGAGTCTGTGGGTTTTTTTTTTTTAATCACAGAAGGATGTTGAATCTCATAAAATGCTTTTTTGGCATCTATTGAAATGATCATATGGATTTTATCTGTTGATGTGGCAAATCACATTGTTTAATTATTTTGTATCTGAAAAGAAAATTAGGAAAACAATCCCATTTACAACAGCACCAAAAATAATAAAATACTTAGGAATAAACTTAATTAAGGAGGTAAAAGACATACACTGAAAACTATAAAACATTGATGAAATAAAGAAGACATACATAAATGGAATGATACTGTATTCATGGACTGGAAGGTTTAAAATTGTTAAAATATTCATACTATACAAAACAATTCAGATTTAATGCAATCCCTGTCAAAATCCCAATGGCATTTTTTTTTTACAGAAATAGAAAAAAAATTCTAAAATTCATGTGGAACCACAAAAGACCACGAATAGCCAAATCAATCTTGGAAAAGAACAAAGCTGGAAGCATCCCACATCCTGACTTCAAAATATATTACAAAACTACAGTAATCAAAACATATATACAAAAACACATATACAAAAATACATATACAAAAATCAGCTCAAAATAAATTAAAGATTTAAATGTAAGGCCTGAAACAGTAAAACTCCTAGAAGAAAACTTAGGGGAAAACCTTCATGACATTGATCGGCAATGATTTTGTATATACAACACCAAAAAGACAGGCAGCAAAAACAAAAATAAGTGGGACTACATCAAGGTACATAAACCTGCACAGCAAGGGAAACAATCAACAAAGTGAAAAAGCAACTTACACAATAGAAGAAGATATTTGCAAACCACATTCTGATAAAGGTTAATCTCCAAAATATACAGTGATTTCCTACAACTCAATAGTAAGAAAATGGATAACCAGATTTTAAAAAATGGTCTAAGGACTTGAACAGACATTTTTCCAAAGAAGACATGCAAATGGCCAACAGATATGTGAAAAACAAATGCTCAATGTCATAAATCAGGGACATGCAATTTAAAACGACAATGAGATACCACCTCACACCTGTCAGGATGGTTACTATCAAAGGAAACAAAAAACAAGGGTTGGCAAGAATGTGGAGAAACTGGAACCCTTGTTAGTGGGAATGTAAAATGGTGCAGTTGCAGTGGAAAACAATAGAGAGCTTCCTCAAAAAATTTAAAAAATGGGACTACTGTGTGATTCTGCAATCCCACTTCTGACTGTATATCCAAAACAATTGAAATCAGGATCTCAAAGATGTTAGCACTCCTGTGTTCATTACAGCACTATTTCACCATAACCAAGATGAGGCTATAACCTAAATGTTCATGGAAAGATGAATGGATTTTTAAAGTGTGGTACATACAAATGGTAAAATATTATTCAGCCCTAAAAAAGAAGGGAATTCTACAATATGCAACCACTGGATGAACCTTGAGGACATTACATTAAGCAAAGCAAGCCAGTCACAGAAGGACAAATACTGCATGATTTCACTTATTTGAGGTATCTAAAATAGTCAAATCTGGAAATTCAAGGAAGGAATGGTAGTTTCCAGGAGTGGAGGAAGGAGAAATGGGGTATTATTAATCAATAGGCATGAAGTTTCATTTAAGCAAGATGAGCAAGTTGTATAGATCTGCTGTACAACATTGTGCCTGTAATCAAAAACACTGTTATTGTACACTTAAACATTTGTTAAAAAGGTAGATCTCATGGTAAGTGTTCTTACAACAATGAAATAAAATTAAAAAAAAAGAAAAACTGCCAAGTCTAACACTGCTATCCTACCAGTGAGCACTTTTTTCCTCAAACTTGCAGCAGCCACTGCTCAAAGTTCTCCATCTCAGTATCCATTTGTCAGTAACCCACCATCATAGGCCAATTACTGCACTGGGTTCTAGATCATTTACACTTCTACGTACTATACAGGCCCAAGGCATAATTCACTAGAATAGAATTTGCAGAATGTGTTGCTCTACCCATTCAGCTAATCCCAGCAGTCATTACCGTTACAGCTTCCATCCCTAAATCCCCACTTCCCTGCCCCTCTAAGAACCAGCCTCTGATTGATAGTGGGATAAGCTGCTTAAGAAAACCTACAGGATCCACTCTGCTCTTGGACATCTAATGTTTTAGCATAGTCAGCACATTGTCATTCTTATGGTAAATGCACCAGATTTTTGCTTAGGGCACTGTCTTTCTTTGGTTACCATTCCACATCGTTAGGTTGGGACTGATCCCTCCACCTTTAATCCAGACGAAATTATGTAAGCCAGTCAGAGAATCTCATTAGCCTTGCCACAGTGCTTGGGTCATAGATAAATGTATAACAGGAAACAGGCAAATCAAAGGCATGAAACCCATTTCTGAGCTGTATGTTGGAATTGTTGGGGGCAGAATAGCTCTCTTCACAACAGGTTTAAACCTAAAAAATTTTGAGCTGCTGGTTGCACTTTTGCTATCATGTGTGGAGAGCCTGAGGTGAGCCTATCTGAGACTGAAGATAATGCTTAGGAAAGGGAACCAAGAAATGACTAGTTAATATCAATTGAGCAATTACTATGTGTTCATCACAATTGATCATTTAATTCTACAGTAACTCTTAGAAACAGGGTCCACATTGATCATCCACAAGCTGGAGATGAGGTCAATAAGAATAAATGTCTTGCCCAAAGTTTTACAGCTAATGGCAAAGCTGAGATTTGTACCTAGGCAGTCTAGATCTAGAACCCATGTTCAGTACCGCTATGCTACACTGTGTCAATGTATGCTAATATATTGACTAATAAATACACACTTCAGAAACAGCTAGAGAGAGAGTAAGAGCCTGAGAGAGACAATGAGTCCTGGTTATTTGTCTTTGAGTGCCTGGATCTAATCATACCTGAAATCATAAACTTTTTTTTTTTTTTGAAACGGAATCTTGCACTGTCACCCAGGCTGGAGGGCAGTGGCACGATCTCAGCTCACTGCACCCTCCGCCTCCCGGGTTCAAGCGATTCTCCTGCCTCAGTCTCCTGAGTAGCTGGTATTACAGGGGCCTGCCACCACACCCAGCTAATTTTTTGTATTTTTAGTAGGGACGGGTTTCACCATGTTGGCCAGACTGGTCTCAAACCCCTGACCTCGTGATTCACCCGCCTCAGCCTCCCAAAGTGCTGGGAATATAATCGTGAGCCACCATGCCCGGCCTAAACTTTTTTTTTTTAAATTAAATAAGCAAATTCCCCTTTCCGCTTTTTTTCAGAAGCCAGTTTGACTGTTAAAACTGATAAAACTGATAAAACTCCTAATATATCCTTCAATATGCAAGGAGTGATACACAGAAACCTGTATCAAACGTGAAAGCTTACAGATCACACTGAAACCACTGGATGGCTCTACAGACTTTGCAAACATTTACGCTTGCATCTAGGAGAAATTTGAGGACTATTTCATGAGATTCTTTGAGGTAATTCATTGAAGTAACCAACCCTTCAGTATTCTCCCTGTATTTACCTCTGCCCACTTATGCTCTCTTTCATTTCTTCATGCCAAGCCTGACTGGCATACACCTTGCTCTACATCTAGGGTCTACAGCTTCAGGAAAAATCAGAGTACATAGTGAAAGCAGTGTCCTGGTGACCTGGCATGCTGCAACCCAGGCTCCCATCTCAAAATTGCCCATAAATGTATCTGTTTTCCATGGACCTTCCCCAGAAAAGTTACACTGAGCCTTGTCTAGTAGGGGAGCCTTGCGTCAGATATAGTGTCCATCTCAAATTTGTTGCTTTAAGTCATCCTAACACATCCACGTGGGGAACCTAAAGGAGCATGACCTGACCCTCCTCATTTGTTCATTTTCTGTTCCTGCTTTCGTCCTGTCCTTAAGTGATTTCCAATTGGAGACGCTTCTTATTTAACCTACCATTTCTGTAGGCAAATATTTCTTAATCAGTATTACAGACAACACAATAAACAAAAAGATTAGCAAATATTAACAAAGTGATAATATTAAAATTAAGAATTTCTGTTTCTTGAAAGATACAATTGAGAGACTGGAAAGGCAAGATACGAAAAAAACGTTTGCAGTGCGTACAGCAAAGAGACCCTACAAATTAATAAGAAAAGTACCTAGAAAAATAGATAAGAAATTTGATTGGCCAGGTGTGGTCAATCCTAGCACTTTGGGAGGCTGAGGCAGGCAGATCGCTTGAGCCCAGGAGTTTGAGACCAGCCTGGGCAACAAGATAAAACCCCGTCTCTACAAAAAAACAGAAAAATCAGCTGAGTGTGGTGGCAGGCACCTGTAACCCCAGCTACTTGGGAGGTGGAGGAGGGAGGATCACCTGAGACCAGGGAGCTGCGGCTATGGAGAGCTGTGATCATGCCACTGTATTCCAACCTGAGTGACAGAGTGAGACCCTGTCTCAAAAAAAAAAAAAAAAAAAAGTTAAAAAAAAAATCCCAAAACTTAATTTGGTACTCCATATAATAGGATACACAATTGATCAATCAATATATGAAAAGGTACGTAGCATCATTAGTCAAAAGGGAATTGAAATTAGAACTATAAGGAGTTAACATTCCCTACCCAGTGATCAGAATGGTTAAGAATATCAATACTAAGAGTTATGTGGGCCACATGGGGTGGCTCATGCCTGTAATCCCAATACTTTGGAAGACTGAGGCAGGAGGATCCTTTGAGGCCAGGAGTTCAAGACCAGCATGGGCAACATAGCAAGACACTGTCTCTACATAAAAATTAAAACATAATTTTTAAAAACTTAACCAGGCATAGTGGCATGTACCTGGAGTCCTAGCTACTCAGGAGGCAGAGGTAGGAGGATTCCTTGGCCCAGAAATTCAAGGTTACAGTGAGCTATGATCACACCACTGTACTCCAGCCTGAGAGACCCTACCTCTATTGAAAAAGATAAAAAGTTGATTTGGGTAATTTGTTGATGATCTGAAACTCTCACACACTTTTGGTAGGACTATAAATTGGTACAACTTTGCAAAAACAGTATTAATCTGCTAAAATTTTAATCTCCTAAAATCTTAGGGATACGCCCACCAGGAATGCAAACATGCATATCAAAGCTACACTGGAAGTTCTTAACAGTATTATTTATCCTAGCTATAAATTGCAAGCAACCCCAATGGAGTTAGAATGGATAAATAATATGTGACATATTCATGGAGCAAAATACCATTCAGCAGTAAAAGTGAAGACACTATAGCTATGTACACAATGTGAATGCGTCCCACAAACATACCGGACACCAAATAATATAAATGCATGATTCTATTAATGTATACTCAGAAATGAAATTTTAGAAGTTAGAATATTGGTTACCTTTGAGGAAAAGAAAAGGGATAGTTCACCTTGCTCCAGAATACCCTGGTAACATACATACTACCATGGCTGTCTGGTGGGTAATTCTACCCTCTGCCCCAAGTCCCATGTCCCACTCCAGACCACAAGCAGGTTCCCCAGTCTTTCTACCCGATTCACCAATGGAAGGGATGGTGGAACTGTGTTCTAACAATGGTCAACAACTCAGATTTTCCTAAACGTTGCATATACATGCATAACTATTTGTTCATACTGTTCCCTCTGCCTAGCATGGAATTCCCTCTTCTCTCTCAGCAGAGAAACTTAATACTCCCAATTCAAAACGCAGATGGCACCACGCGAGGTCAGAGAAAGAGGCAAGAAGTTTTAGTCAACCTGTCTTTGATTATTGGCTTGCCATATGCAGTCTACGTGTACTTGATCATCGCTTAACTTTTTAGCCTGTTTCTCATGTATGAAACGAGAATAATGATATCCAGCTCATGGGTTGTTTAAAGGAATACATGACATGATAAGGTAAGAGCTTATTACATATTATTTTTCTTTGGTTTCCTTTTTCCCTTGCAGTATCACTTGCTTTCAGCTATGTACTGGCACCACTCAGAATAATTTTAGAGTCATTAATTTTATTTATTTATTTTTCTCTTTTATTTCTTTTAACTTTATTTTTTTTAATTTTAAAGACATGGTCTTGCTTTGTTGCCCAGGCTGGTCTCAAACTCCTGGGCTCAGGTGATCCTTCTGCCTCAGCCTCCCAAAATGCTGGAATTACAGGCATGAGCCACAGCACATGGATCCAAGTCATTAATTTTGTTTTATTTAATGTAATTTATTTATTTGAGACAGGGTCTCACTCTGTTGCCCAGGCTGGAGTGCAGTGGTACGGTCTTGGCTCACTGCAACCTCCCTCCACCTCCCGGGTTCAAGCAATTCTTCTGCGTCAGCCTCCCGAGTAGCTGAGATTACAGGCATGGGCCACCATGCCCAGCTAATTGTTGTATTTTTAGTAGAGATGGGGTTTTACCATGTCAGTCTGGCTGGTCTTGAACTCCTGACCTCAAGTGATCCACCTGGCTCAGCTTCCCAAAGTGCTGGGATTACAGGCATGAGCCACCACCCCTGGCCCTAAGTCATTAATTTTAAAAAATGTTTATTTAGGATGAGCGTACTTGGTAGGAGCCAGGGTTAGAAAAAGAGCAAGATATGATTCACAAGAAATTATTACTTTGGCCAGGAACAGCAAGTTAGTGAATAAGAAAATGTCTAATGAAAAAATAATTTTCAGAAATTTTAAGAAAATTTTAAGAGATTTTAAAGCCATTATATGCAAGAGACTAAATTTTTTAGATAACCAGAGAGATTAATGAGAAATCTACAGTAGCTACGCTGATCTAAAGTTATTGGTATCTAGCTTAATAGGTATGTCAATGGGAAGAGAAAAAAAGATATGACACATGAGACATTAAGAAGGAAGAAGCATTATAATTTTTTAATAGATACTGTATAAAGAATAGTACAGGCCAGACATGGTGGCTCACGCCTGTAATTCCAACACTTTTCGAAGCCCAGGCGAGAGGATCACTTGGAGTCAGGAGTTTGAGACCAGCCTGAGCAAAAAAAGCAAGACCCCATCTCTAAAAATAAAAAATAAAAAAATTAGCCAGATGTGGTGGCATGCACCTGTGCTAGGTGACAGAGTGAGACCCTGCCGAAGAAGGAGAAGGCAAAGAAGAAGGAGAAGGAAGAAGAAAAGAAGAATGAGGAGAAGGAAGAAGGAGGAGAAGTGGTAGGATGAGGGTGACGAGCAGAAGAAGAAGGAGAAGAAGAAAGAAGAGGAAGAGGAGGAGAAAGGAGAAAGAGAAGGAGAAAAGAAGAAGAAAAGAATAGTACAATGTGAACCTGTTTTGTATTTTTTGGTTTTGTTTTTTTTAGCGACAGGGTCTCACTAGGTCATCCAGGCTGGATTACAGTGGCTCAGTCATAGCTTACTGCAGCCTTCTGTACTACAGGCACACACCACCATGCCAATTTTTTTTTTTTTTTTTTTTTTTTAAGATGAGGTCTCTGTGTTACTCAGGCTGATCTCAAATTCCTAGGTTCATGCAGTCCTGCTTCAGCCTCCTGAGTAGCTGGGATTGTAGGCATGAGCTACACTGCACCTCGCAATTTCAAAGTCACATAAAAATTGTATTTGTTTCCTCTGAAACCAAAAACCTACCAATATTTTATCAGTCTAACTGTATGTGCTTCCAATGGTGTTAGCTGAAAATTTCAAACATTCAAAACAAAACACACTTATAGAATAAATTCATCACGTTGATTCTAAATAACATTAAACATGTTTTATTAAACATCGTGATTTTAATTTTTGAAAGATGAGACTTTCGTCACTTCTGTCAAAATATCTATCTTGGAAAAAAGAAAATAGGATGCAGGAAAACATCAAGTGGCAACTGTTGCTACATAGCTAGAAGGCTACATATGTTTCAGTTATTAGACAAACATTTCCATGCTCTGTGGCTTTAAAAAAGATTACTGCCCATGTAATGGGACATAATTCTTAACAATACATACAATTTGACAACTTGAAATTTATTGGTATTGTTATGAGTTGTTTAACTGACAAAGTTTTACTTTGACATTTGAATAAAACATCTAATATGCAATTTGCTTAACATACTTTGCATATCAACTGCTATAATATAAACTTTTATTGTAACAATGGGAATATAAGATATAAAGACATTTTTACATAGTAGAAGTGAACCAGTGAATCCTTTAAGATGAAATGTGAAATCCTGGCAAGGAGGAGGAAAGAACAGAACATATTAATAGAATGCCCTAAGATGGTCTGGGAACACTTACCCCAAATCAATATTTCATCAAGCAGATCACATAGCAAAGCTACTAATGTTATTAAGCACTGAACTAAGATACGTAAATAGAGAATAAAAATTTGTAATACACAAAGTAAATTACATGTTTATAGTTGTGAATATATAAAAAGCCAGTATTTTAAAAAAAGATCCTGGAAGAATCATGGCTTGCCAATAATCAAAATTGATTCTGGAGTGTTTCATCAATGGAAGATCTTTTGAAGTAACAGGATACTCATAATGGGGAAGATACACTCAGGAGAGAGGAAAAAAAAGCCTTCTGGTATAAAATCATGGAATATCACAATAACTATTTAATAGGAACAAATATTCCTATTGAAGTACTAAACTTTAGTGTTCCTATTAAAATACTAAACTCCTGGATATTACTCATTTGACAGGAGACAGTTGAACCTCACTGTTATGCTTATACAAATGTTTGGAATGTAACTTCATCTGGAACAATATTTGCACCTGGAACTTTTTTTATAATCTCATGAAATTTGCCTTATGAGTTTCCACTGCCATTTTGGAGTAATCTACATTCAGTCCTTGCCTCCGTGTTAGTTCGTTGTTGCATTGCTATGAAGAAATACCTAGACGGGCACAATGGCTCACACCTATAATTCCAGAATTTTGGGAGGCTGAGGGGGGCAGGTCACTTGAGTCCAGGAGTTTGAAACCAGCCTGGGCAACACACTGAAACCCTGTCTCTACAAAAAAATACAAAAATTATCCTGGTGGTGCACACCTGTAGTCCCAGCTACTTAGGAGGCTAAGGTGGGAGGATCACTTGAGCCCAGGAGGCGGAGATTGCAGTGAGCCATGATTGCACCACTGCACGTCAGCAACTGGGTGACAGAGTAAGACCCTGTCTCAAAAAAAGAAAAGAGTGTGAGAGAGAGAGAGGAGAGAGAGAGAGAGAGAGAGAGAGAGAGAAATACCTGAGGCTGGGTAATTTATAAAGTAAACAAGTTTCATTGACTCACAGTTCTGCAGGCTGTACAGGAACTGAACACACCCACATAGGGTATGTACAGAAGCAGATGCTAGTGCATCTGCTTCTGGTGAGGCCTCAAGGAAGCTTACAAGCATGGCAGAAGGTGAAGGAGAACCAGCATGTGACATGGAGAGAGAGGGAGAAGATGTCATGCACTTTTATACAACCAGATCTCACATGAACTCAGAGCAAGAACTGACTAGCACCAAGAGGATGGCGCTAAGCCATTCAAGAGGGATTCACCCCAGTGATCCAAACACCTCCCACCAGAATCCACCTGCAACACTGGGAATTACATTTGAACTTGAGATTTGGAGGTGACAAACATCCCAACTATATCAGTTTCTACCCTGGTACAGGAATCCTCATTGCATATAGTGCCCTGCCATGTTGGGTGCCCTGAATTTCTTTCAGTTCTACTACGTACAAAAGTTAGCTGCTTGTGGGCAGTGAGTAACATTCATGAACTTTATGGAGGCTACAGAATTGCCTAGCTGTTCAGTTTGAGGATGCCCCAGAGGAGGGCTATCTCTTAGATACCGTGATAATTAATCTTTTTGCACATAGCATCAACTTCCCAAGACATAATATTTTATATCCAAACATTAGAAGAACAGAGTTCATGAATGTTAATGCCTAAGCATAGACTCTTCTGAAAGCTGTGGCTTGTTTATGTGGGTGTGTCTTTAGTTAGGTACCCTATGTGGGTGTGTCTTTAATGTCCCAAGCATTAAAAGCCACATCTGTTAGGGTCTAGGGCAGGAAACCCAGACTATGTCATGCGTGAGTGCCACTCCAGAGTATACGAAAGTGAGAACATATTAGAAAAGGTCTTACAGCTTCTCAAGCAGCTCTGTAGTTCCTTTATTCCCAATCTTCTCTTAACCCTCATGTGCTGGTGTTGCTGGTTGAGGACAGTTTCAAAGCAATAATTTCAGAGCCTATGAGCTGCCTCTGTTTATACAATGATATGTGTCACAACTCTCGTGGTTCCTGCAAAAGAGCTGTAATTCTTCTCAGGATTGGGGGTGCACACTTTAAAGGAGTATGTTGATAGAAACCTGTTACAGGAATTCATTTTCCCCTCAAGCCACTTCATGGAAGCACAAGTACAATTTGTAAATTTAGTGAGACCATAATTCAGGGATGCACTGGATTTGGGCTTCAAACTGAGTGCACAGACATCACTGGAAGACTTAGGGGAAAAAAAGGAAGAGACCCTCTGAACAAGGGGGAAAAATTGTCAGATGAAAAGGGTGAAACAGAATGATAACTGCCAGAGGAAGGGATGAAGTTTTATTTCCTACAACAACATCCTTTCTTGTACTGCCTAGGTGAAGAGGAACAGATGCTGCCATGAAAGGGGTTTCCTAGAAAGTGGTGAAGAGACCATAGCCTAATGCAAGTAGAGAATTGGGACCAGGAAAAATAAAGCCATGAAATAATGAGTCTGCTGTATTAGAGGTAATTTTTTGCTGCTTCCAAGATTTAACATATGGAGTAAAATCCTAAATGCTGAATGAAAGAATCCAAAAGTTGAACATAACATAAGGTACCCTAGGATCCCTCAAAAAATAAAATAAATACCATTGGTTTAGAGAGAGGTATTCTATGGATTGACGTTTCCTGGGAATTTGGGGGTTTGAGGAAAAAAATATACTATACTTGATGTTTAGTATTTGGTTGTATTACACTATATGTTTAAATACATAAACATTTTAACATAAGTTCGTTGTCTGAGAACTTGCTGTATTTTCACATATCATCAATACTTCTAGGAAAGAGTTTCCAGAACATTATGAAACTTTAATCAGTGGGTATCTATAAATTTTATTGGATTATGGTGCCATATAAACAGGTAAGAAGCCATTTTTTCCCCTAAAACATTCTCCACACAAAATGGTCTTATAAATAACTGTGAACTTTGTATTTTCTCCTTGGCCCTACAACTCCACCACCACCAGAGCAGATAAACAGTTCTTAGGATTCCATGCCTCAAAAATGTACTTTCAGGCTAATCCGTTGTTGGCCAAGAAAAAGCTATATGGCCATAATTACAGGCAATTTGCAGCAAGAGAGACTTGAATTTAAAGTACCTCATCACTTCGCCCACCACACTGGGCCCTGAAAAAACTTAAGAACAGGTCACTGAGCCCTTTTCAAGTCAGGAAATTATCTAGTGGACTAGTACCTCATCGTCCTCTTTCAAATATCTCCAACCTATTTTTCATTGCTTATATTTAGGCTCTTTCTTTATAGATCTCATGTTGCATCCTGACTGTTTTCCTGATAGAGCTAGGAGAGAGAGACAGCAGGTTCCATTTATGCTTTCTGGACTCCGGGGATCCTAGAAGCCAGCTAAAGCACATAGTTGTAAGAAGAGCTACTTGCTGTAGAACAGAAGAGCCAATCTTTCCTTGTGTATTCTGCCAGAACAAATTCTAGCTTTCCACTGGCTGGCCCCATTCCACCTCACTCCCTTGCCAGGTAAATCTTTTGAGTCACCAAGCACAGCCAGGCTCACCCTGTTAGATATGTTTACCCCCAGATTAAAACCTAATGCTTCTCACCTCACCCACTCCACCTGGCTTCTCATTCTGAAAGTTGTACTTTATTTATTAAGGGCCTAATTGTTCTTTTTTTGTGCCTTACCTCCACTTCCTAATTTGAATTATTCAGTTTCTTTTGTTTTTTCTTATCAAACATTTGATACACAGAATGTAATTATTCATAATTCTTGTTTACTACCACAGTCTCATCATTTGTACACACAGGGCTTCCTTCCTTCTCTCCTTCCAACCTTCTTTATTTTTTATTTTTTTACAAATCGGGTCTTGCTGTCACCCAGGCTGGAGTGCATAATTGTAGCTCACTGCAGCCTTGAAATTCTTGGTTCCAACAATCCTCCCACCTCAGCCTCCAGAATAGCTAGGACTGCAGCCATGTGCCACCATGCCCAGCTAAGTTTTATTTTATTTTGTTTTGGTTTCTATTTTTTTAGAGAGAGGGTCTCACTTTGTTGCCCAACCTGGTGTTGAACTCCTGGGCTCAAACCAGTCTCTTGCCTTGACCTCCCAAAGTGCTAGGATTACAGGTGTGAGCCACCATGCCTGGCCTTTTTTTTTTTTTAATTTATTAGTGTAGTCAGGGTCTCACTATGTTGCCCAGGCTGGTCTTGATCTCTTTGGTTCAAGCAATCCTTCTGCCTCAGGCTTCTGAGTAGCTGGGACTACAGGTATGCACCACCACACCTGGCCAATTTATTATTTTTTATTTATTTATTTTTATTTTAAAATATTTTTTGATTATTATTTTTATTATTCACTTACTATTCCTCAAATATTTTAAAAATTATTTTGTTGAGAAAGGGTCTCATTCCATCGTCCAGGCTGGAGTGCAATGGCATCATCATGTTTCACTGCAGCCACAACCTCCTGGGCTCAAGGGATCCTCCTGCCTCAGCCTCCTGAGTAGCTGGGACAACTGACATGTGCTACCACACCTAGCTAGTGTATATATGTGTATATATATATATATATATATATATATATATATATATATATATATTTTTTTTTTTTTTTTTTTTTTTGTAGAGAGGTGGTCTCACTATGTTGCCCAGACTGGTCTCAAACTCCTTAGTTCAAGTGATCCTCCCATCTCAGCCTCCCAAAGTGCTGGGATTACAGGTGTGAGCCACTGCACCTGGCCTTATTTTTTTAGAGATGGGGTCTTGCTATGTTGCTCAAGCTGGTTTCAAACTCCTGGGCTCAATAAATCCTCCTGCCTCAGCCTCCTGGATAGCTGGGATTAATAGGCCTGAGCTACAGCGCCTGGCTCAAACCTTTTATTTTAATAATTTTATATATTGCAAATAAGAAAATGACCATTTATGAGTCTACCACAGGAAAACTAGAGCACAGACAATAATTTACATCCACCTCTGTGGTTCTTCCTTATCTTGTTCCCTCCTGCTTTGATTTGAATGTGTTTCCCCAAATTCTTGTGTTAGAAACCTAATCTTCAATACAACAGTGTTAGAATGTGGGGCCTAATGGGAGGTGTTTAGGTCATGAGGGATGGACCATCATGAATGCATTAATGTGCCTATAAAAATGGCTTGTGAGACTGGTCGTGGTGGCTCATGCCTGTAATCCCAGCACTTTGGGAGGCCAAGGTGGGCAGATCACTTGAGGTCAGGAGTTCAAGGCCAGCCTGGCCAACATGGTGAAATCCTGTCTCTACTAAAAATACAAAAAATTAGCTGGGCATGGTGGCACATGCTTGTAGTCCTCGGATGGCTGAGGCATGAGAATCACTTGAACCCAGGAGGTGGCATTTGCAGTGATCTAAGATTGGGCCACTGCACTCCAGCCTGGGAGACAGAGCAAGACTCCATCTCAAAAAAAAAAAAAAAAAAGACTTGTTAGAGTAGGCTTTCTCTCTCTTCTGCTATATGAGGACATGGTGTTCCTCCCCTCCGAAGGATGCAGCATTCAAGGTGCTATGTTGGAAGCAGAGAGACTGAGCCCTGACCTGCCAGTGTCTTGATCTTGGACTTTCCAGCCTCCAGAACCATGAAAAGGAAATTTCTATTCTTTATAAATTACCCAGTCTCAGGTAGTCTGTTATAGCAGCACAAAACAGACTAAAACACTCTTATCCCCCACTGCATCCAAGGTAATCACTATTGTGAATCTTGTTTTCATGATTATTTTGCTTTCCTTTTACTATGGTACTGTATGTATGCCTAATTAATTAATTAATTATAGAGATAGGGTCTCCCTATGTTGCCCAGGGTGGTCTTGAACTCCTGGGCTCAAGCAATCCTCTCACCTCAGCCTCCCAAAATGCTGGGATTACAGGCTTGAGCCACCAAGACTGGCCATATGTATGCCTTAAAAATTTGAACTGTTACATGACTCATTTTCATTTGACTTCAGACTCGAACCCTCATATGACTGCAGTGTTCAGTCTCTTAGTCTGTCATGGTGTTGCATGAACTAAAGATGAGCTGAAGTTCAGATAAATAGTAATTCAAAGATACTGGACATGACATCTGTGCCTTATTTGTGAAAGAATCCAGTAAAGATGCTCTAAAGGATAGGAACCAAAGATATACTATTAATATTTGCCTTTTCTTTAACTATATGTATTCCTTTAAAAGCTTTAGAGAGAGATTACCTGATAAGTAACCCTCTGAAGATTTCCGATAGTTTGCTGTTTTTCTCTTCACTAGTCTTCTTTACCTGAGAGTGTTCTACTCATTGTTTAAGATATAATTTAAAATTCACCTCAGGGCAACAAATGCAAACATAGACAAATGGGATTACATCAAACTAAAAATCTTCATAGCAAAGGAAATAATCAACAGAGTGAAGAGGCAATGTATAGAATGGGAGAAAATATTTGCAAACTATACACCTAAGAGGTTAATACTCAAAATATATAAGGAATGTAAACAATTTAATAGCAAGAAGACCACCCAACTGGAAAATGGGCCAAAGATGTGAATAGACATTTTTTTTTTCAAAAGAAAACACACAATGGACAAGTATGCAAAATCTCAACATTATTAATCATTAAGGAATCAAGCAAATGCAAATAAAAACCACAATAACACCCTACACTCCTATTAGAAAGGCTACCATTAAAAATGCAAAAGATAAACAAGTGTTGGTGAGGATGTGGAGAAAAAGGAACCCTTGCACACTGTTGTGGGGCATGTAAATTTGTATGGCTATTGTAGAAAACAATTTAGGGGTCCCTAAAAAAATTAAAAATAGAGCTAGCATAAGATCCAGCAATCCAGCTAAGGGGTATATATCCAAAGGTAATGAAATCAGTACCTCAAAAAGATATCTGGCCTCTCATGTTTATTGCAACACTATTCACAATAGCCAGATATAAAAATCAACCAGGATAAAGAAAATATTGTACTTATATAAAATAAAATACTATTCAGCCATAAAAAGAAATCTTGTCATTTGCAACAACATGGGTAAATCTGAAGGACATTAGGTTAAGTGAAATAAGCCAGGCGCAGAAAGACAAATACCACATGATCTCACTTATATGTGGAATCTAAAAATTTTATTCCGTAGAAATAGAGAGTAGAATGATGATTACCAAAGGCTGGGGTTGTGGGGAGTGAGAGAGGAGATATTGGGAAGATGTTGGTCAAATAATACACAATTGTAGTTAGAATGAATAAGTTCATGTGCAGAATGGTGACTAGTTAATGAAGATATATTATGTTCTTGAAAAATGCTAAAAGAGTTTAAAAATGCTAATTGTTCTCACCACAGAAATGATAACTGTGAAGTAATAGATTTGTTGATTAGCTAGATTGAATCATTCCACAATGTGTATATATTCAAAACATTATATTGTACATATTAAATACATAGAATTTTATATGTCAATTTTTAAAAATAAATAATTTGAAAAAAATAAAAGTAACTTCAGAAAATCCTTGTAGAGCTCTCATAGGCATATAGTTCTCCATCGTTTGTTCTTTAAGCACATGCCCAAATCATTATTCTGGAATTTATCTCACTTTGTGATGATTATTTCTGGAGAAGCCTGTCTTTTCAAGTCACTGAGCTATTGAAGAGATGGTCTCACTCACCTTTGTCTTTTCCAGAAATTAGTCCAGTACCAGGGCAATAGTAAATATTTGTTTAGTAAATGAATGAATGAATGATGGGCACTATTTCAGATTATTAGAAGTGGAAAAGAATGGGGCATGGTGTTGCATGTCTGTAGCCCCAGCTACTTGGGAGGCTGAGGCAGGAGGATTGCTTAAGTCCAGGAGTTCAAGGCCATTCTGGGCAACATAGTGAGACTCTGCCTCAATATATATATTTTTCTTTTTTATGAAAAGAAAACATTACCAAAATACCTACTTATGGTCCCAGACTACAATAAGAATGTGCCGTAATAGGAATGAACTTAAAATTGTTTCCATATCTGCTCACCCTACTAGGCTTTTTCCTTATAAATGATATCACTGAATAGAAAATGATGGCAAATCATGTTTAACAATCATGCAATAATCACAATAATGGTGGGTACTATAACTGATACTGAGGCTGAGGATTACATTCATTTATAGCCTCAGGAAATTCTGACTAAAATGGCAGATTTGGAGACAGTGGTAGAGGGGACAATAGCAGACAAGGAATTTATTTATTTGTTTGTTTATTTTTTAGAGACAGGGTCGTGCTCTGTCACCCAGGCTAAAGTGCAGTGGTGCCATCCTAGCTCACTGCAGCCTTGAATTCCTGGGTTCATGTGGTCCTCTCACCTCACCCTCCTGAGTAGGCTGGGACTGCAGGTGTGTGCCACCATGCCCAGCTTCAGGCAAAGAATTTAAACAAATATTTGGAAGATGATGGAACACAGAGGAGCAATAATTAAATTAGTAGAGCAAAGTAAGCTGCAACCTAAATGCCTGCAGAAGGGAATACCAAGAGAAGCAAATAGAATTGTTTCAGGACTCTGGTAAACAGTTAAAGTAAGGAGCAAGACAAGACTGCTGGAAACAGAGGGAAACTCTGAAAAATCTATACTCAGAGTAGGTAGACTCTCCTACAAATGCCTTCTTATCTCCCACCACAAACTAGATGTTTAGTCTCTGGATATACTGAATTAGAGAAGCTCTGGGATAGGAGACACCAGCTCAGCAGATGGTGATGGGGGAGGGTTAACTTCAGATACTGAAGGTGACACCCTGAGTTCATTTGTTCTTTTCCCGAAATGCCAACAATCAGACCTATGCCCTATCGGACAGGAGATCAGGGGATTTCTTCATCGAAAAATTGAATAGCCTTGGGATCCCCCAACCAAAAAGTCAGCTTTTTACCCAGGTAATTGAGAATAAAACTAGCCAATAAGCTTTATACTGCCTTAACCTGAAATGTGGGTGATTAGCCAAAGATCTCTAGATGTTTGAAAATGACCCCTTGACATGAGAGGCACAGGTTCAATCAACCTAATATGGAAAAGGAACCCAGAGAATATTGAGATAGGGCAAGAAGAAGAAAAGAAAATCTTTTTAAAAAATCAGTAATATTCTCAGAGAAACAAGAGAAGATATAGCATCCTCACAACAAAAAACAATGTTACTTTGTAGCAAAGAAATAAGATGCTATATTTTAAAAAGGATAATTTGGGAACCCTCCCCACAAAAAAGTCCTTTTAGAAAAAAACGACAAATGAAAACCTTAAGAAAATAGAACAACAACAACAAAAGGCAGTGAAATATAAGAAAAAAATGTAAGAAAATCCAGGAAGTTTGGGCCAGGTGCAGTGACTCATGCCTGTAATCCCAACACTTTAAGGCCAGAGGATGACTTGAAGCCAGGAATTTGAGACCACCTTGGGCAACAAAGTGAGGCCCCTATCTCTATTAAAAAAAAAAAAGAAAGAAAGAAAAAAAAGAAAAAGAAGAAAAGAAAATTCAGGACTTTCAATATCTGATTAGTAGGAGTTCCAAAAAAATAAAGAATAAAGAAAATGGAAATGAGGGAATTATCAAAGACACAACATAAAGAAAATTTTTCAAACTGAAAGAACGAGTCTGTGTGTTTAAAGGGTCCACTCAGTGCTCATAGTAGCAAATGAAGACCAACAACAAGGCCAACAAGGCATAGCACTGTGGAATTTCAGAATACTACACATAAAATGAACATTCTTTAACCTGAAGAGAGAGAAAAAAAAGTAGTATATGGAGGATTATGTCATCAGACTGCAAGAGCAGTAAGTACATGTAGAAGACAGTGCGTCAATGCTCTCAAAATTCTAAGGAAAAATTTTCAACCTGGAGTTTTATATTTAGCCAAACTACTCATTAGTTATCAGAAAAAACCAAAGGTATTTTTAACGTGTGAGTCTCAAAAAATATACTTCCCTTCCATTCTTTCTTAAGATATTACAAGCCATGGCCGGGCATGGTGGCTCAAGCCTGTAATCCCAGCACTTTGGGAGGTCGAGGCGGGTGAATCACCTGAGGTCAGGAGTTCAAGACCAGCCTGGCCAATATGATGAAACCCCGTCTCTACTAAAAATACAAAAAAAATTTGCCAGGTGTGGTGGCGCACCCCTGTAATCCCAGACACTCAGGAGGCGGAGGCAAGAGAATTACATGAATCCAGGTGGTTGCAGTGAGCTGAGACCATGCCACTGCACTTCAGCCTGGGCAGCAAAGTGAAACTTCGTCTCAAAAAAAAAAAAAAAAAATTACAAGCCAGATGTGGTGGCTCACACCTGTAATCCCAGTGCTTTGGGAGGCTGAGGAGGGAGGGAGCCCTTGAGCCCAGAAGTTCAAGGCACTGAACTATGATCACACCAGTGCAGTCCAGCCTGGGTGACAGAGTGAGACCTTGTCTCTAAATTAAAAATATATATATATATTATTTAATGAATTACTCCATCCAAACATATTTTTGGTCATCCTGGATCTTGGAAATTAGAAACAAATCATGAGCACTGAGATCCAGGATGTCCCAAAATAAAGGCAGGGTAAAGGAATTCCTGGATGGCAGCTATGTGTCTGGGATTGATGGATAATCTGATGCATTTTAACTATATACAAAATAGTATTGAGGATATTTTGAAGACCTTTCTGAGAATTTGGAAAGAATTTTTGATAGGTATGTGGGAAAATACATAAATTGGACAGATTGATAATTTGTAACTCAGAAAAAAAAAGAAAAAATGGAAAAAAGAAAACATTTCAAAATGAAAAACTATCATATTACACAGTGAATCAATATTAGATTATATTTTAATATTCTTAATATTCTGAACAGTGACTGATCATTTAAAATATTTAGAGAAATTTTAGGGAAAGACAAATGGGGTTATATATCCTTACCTACTATGATACATATAATTAACAAAACAAGAATGAACAATATTAGCATATCATTACAAACTCCTTCACCTCAGCAAAATGTATGAATATTGAAAGTGGTAGCATTTAAGGAATAGGTTGAGAAAGGTAGGGGAAAGGTTATAGTTTGCTACAATTTGTTATAAGCCTTTTTCTGTTCCACTGAACTTTTAAATTATGTGTATACATTATTTTAATACAAGTTAAAATTAGTTAAAAGTCAAAAGTATTACAAATTACAAATTATTATCATATATACACAGAGTCACATATAGAATACACTAGCCCTGTGTTAGTCTGGATCCTCCAAAGAGCAGAAGCCAAGATAGGATTAAATATGAAAAATATTTGTTAGGGTAAATACTGATGAAAGAAACATGGGGAGTTGGGAGATGCTAGGAGAGCCATAGGACTATTATGCATGTCTGATTCTGAGTGAAGAAAAGGGAAAAAGAAAGGAGGAAGGTAGGCAGGCAGGAAGGAAGGAAAAAGGAAGGACCGGGAGAAGCAACTTTTACTGTTGTGTAATCAAAGGAAAAGTCTGCAAGACCACTGGAGGGTCCTCAAACCAAAGCAAACCGGCTGGGCGTGGTGGCTCATATCTGTAATCCCAGTACTTTGGGAGTCTGAGGCGGGCAGATCACCTGAGGTCAAGAGTTCGAGACCAGCCTAGCCAACATGGTGAAACCCTGTCTCTAATAAAAATACAAAAATTAGCCGGGTGTGGTGGTGCACGCCTATAGTCCCAGCCACTCGGGAAGCTGAGGCAGGAGAATCGCTTGAACCTGGGAAGTGGAGGTTGCAGTGAGCCGAGATCGTGCCACTGCACTCCAGCCTGGGTGACAGAGCGAGACTCCATCTCAAAAACAAACAAACAAACAAACAAAAAAACACAAAGCAGACCATCAGAAGAGTCCTGGCATCTCCCAGGAACAGGCCTGTCTTCCTGCTGGATGGGAGCAGCTCCTGGAAAATTTGGCTTCAGTGCAAACCTAGCAATTGATTTCAGACCACAGAGGTAAGAGCTCTTGACCCATTAGACTTCCTGCTGTAGAAGATCTAAGAGGCACACTCTCATGGTTGCCACTGCCACAAGGACTATATTGAAAATAAAAAGATTTTATGTGATCTATTGAAATAAGTGTTTAAAAAAATTAAATTAGCAGGGGGTTTTTGTTTCTTTTTTTTTATTTGAAAAGAAGGGATTCTAGTATTACCTATCACTTAGGAGCTTTGTGAGAATAAAGTGAATAGAAAGATTAGATAAATAGATATAGATATGTCTTAATCTCATAGCCTGTCACATAGAAAATGCTATATATTTATATATTAGGTAACAATGCTACAATAAGGTAGACAATTCTGGGTTTTATTTATGTTACATCATCTTCCCCTTCCTGACACATGGAAGACTGCTGTGTCACTTGATTTGATGAAAAAATGTGAGCAGAAGTGATGCATATCATTTTCAGGCAGATGCAGTGAAAGTCCATTGACAATTCTTCATCTATCTTTCCCTGCTGGTCATGAAGGAGGCCTCAAGTCGAGGTGAAAGAGCTAACATACATCAAAGTAATCTGGATCTCCGGAAAATCCATAGAAAACACGTGCCCTAGAATAATTCCTGGACCTGCAGTAAACTTTGCATAAAGGAAGAAATGGATTTTTGTCTGCATTTTTTTTTTTTCTGAGACAGAGTCTTGTTCTGTTGCCCAGGCTGGAGTGCAGTGGCATAATCTTGGCTCACTGCAACCTCTGCCATGGGTTCAAGGGATTCTCTTGCTTCAGCCTCCCAAGCAGCTGGGGTTACAGGTATGCACCACCACGCCAGGCTATTTTTTTTTTCTTTTTTGTATTTTTGGTAGAGATGTGGTTTCACCATGTTAGCCAGGCTGGTCTCGAACTCCTGACCTCAAATGATCCACCTGCCTAGGCCTCCCAAAGTGTTGGGATTACACGTGTGAGCCACTGCATCCAGCCAATTTTTTTCCATGATAGCAACATAACCTAGACTCTCCTGACAAATACAGCTATTATTGTTGTTATTATTATTTCTAAAGATCCTCTCATTGAACAAGTGACTGAATTTCTGTGTTTTTGTTTGTTTTGCAGTAATGTGGAACAAGTGACAATTTCATTTTTTAAGAATGCTGTTTGTACAAACAACCCCATCAAAAAGTGGGCAAAGGACATGAACAGACACTTCTCAAAAGAAGACATTTATGCAGCCAAAAAACACATGAAAAAATGCTCACCATCACTGGCCATCAGAGAAATGCAAATCAAAACCACAATGAGATACCATCTCACACCAGTTAGAATGGCGATCATTAAAAAGTCAGGAAACAACAGGTGCCGGAGAGGGTGTGGAGAAATAGGAACACTTTTACACTGTTGGTGGGACTGTAAACTAGTTCAACCATTGTGGAAGTCAGTGTGGCGATTCCTCAGGGATCTAGAACTAGATATACCATTTGACCCTGCCATCCCATTACTGGGTATATACCCAAAGGACTATAAATTATGCTACTATAAAGACACATGCACACATATGTTTATTGAGGCATTATTCACAAAAGCAAAGACTTGGAACCAACCCAAATGTCCATCAATGATAGACTGGATTAAGAAAATGTGGCACATATACACCATGGAATACTATGCAGCCATAAAAAATGATGAGTTCATGTCCTTTGTAGGGACATGGATGAAATTGGAAATCATCATTCTCAGTAAACTATCGCAAGAACAAAAAACCAAACACCGCATATTCTCACTCATAGGTGGGAATTGAACAATGAGAACACATGGACACAGGAAGGGGAACATCACACTCTGGGGACTGTTGTGGGGTGGGGGGAGGGGGGAGGGATAGCATTGGGAGATATACCGAATGCTAGATGACAAGTTAGTGGGTGCAGCGCACCAGCATGGCACATGTATACAAATGTAACTAACCTGCACATTCTGCACATGTACCCTAAAACTTAAAGTATAATAATAATAAATAAATAAATAAATAAAAAAGAATGCTGTTTGTAAAATAAGGAGAGAAAAATGGAGCTGATTGAACCATCAGAATGCAATGCAAGTCTGATTCTGAATGAAGAAGAGAGGAGGGAAGAAAAGGAGGAAGGCAGGCAGGCAGGAAGAATGAAAGACAGGTGGAAGCATCTTTGACTGAAGTAAAGTCTAAGGAAAAGAAGGAATTTGTAATTTGGAGTAATTTTTAATTTTTCTTTCTTCATAACCACATCCAATCTATTACTAATTCTTTTAGACTCACCTTCAATAAATATCCCAAATCCAGAAACTTTTCACCATTTTGAAACCATCTTAATCTCCTATCTGGGTTAATAGTCTCTCTCTCTCTCTCTCTCTCTCTCTCTCTCTCTCTCTCTCTCTCTCTCTCTCTCTCTCTCTCTCTTTTAAGACAGGGTCTCACTCTGTCGCCCAGGCTGGGGTACAGTGGAGCAGTCTTGGCTTACGGCAGCCTCCATCTCCTGGACTCAAGAGATCATCCCTTTATTTCACTGTATACTAAAATTAACTCAAGATAGATTAAAGACTCTTAAACGTAAGACCTGTAACAATAAAAGTTCTAGAAGAAAACCTAGGAAAAACTCTTCTGGACATTGGCCTAGGCAAAGAATTCATGACTAAGACCTCAAAGGCTAATGCAACAACAACAAAATAGACAAATGGGACTTAAATTCAAAAGCTTCTGTACAGCAAAAGAGTCAACATAGTGAACAGAAAACCTGCAGAATAGGAGAAAATATTTTCAAACTTTGCATCCAGCAAAGGACTAATGTCCAGAAACTACAAGAAACTCAAACGATTCAGCAAGAAAAAAACTACTCCAGCAGGGTGCGATGGCTCAAGCCTGTAATCCCAGCACTTTGGGAGGCCGAGGTGGGTGGATCAGGAGGTGAAGAGATCGAGACCATCCTGGCCAACATGGTGAAATCCCATCTTTACTAAAAATACAAAAATTAGCTGGATGTGGTGGCACTCATCTGTAGTCCCAGCTACTCAGGAGGCTGAAGCAGGAGAATCGCTTGAACCTGGGAGGCGGAGGTTGCAGCCAGCCGAGATCGCGCCACTGCACTCCAGCCTGGCGATAGAGCAAGATTTCGTCTAAAAAAAACAAAAAGGAAAAAGAAAAAGAAAAAACTACACCATTAAAAAGTGGGCTGTTTTTCAAAAGAAGACATACAAATGGCCAAGAAGCATATTAAAAAATGCTCCACATCACTAATTATCAGAGAAGTGTAAATTAAAACCACAATGAGATATCATCTAACACCAGTCAGAATGGCTGGGATTGGTTTTATTTTGTTTTTTGTGTGTTCATTTTGTTTATTTGTTTGTTTTTGTTTTTAGGGACAAGGACTTTGTATTAATCTGTTTTCATACTGCTATAAAGAACTGCGCGAGACTGGGTAATTTATAAAGGAAACAGGTTTAACTGACTCACAGTTCAGCATGGCTGGGGAGGACTCAGGAAACTTACAATCATGACAGAAGGCAAAGGGGAAGCAGGAAGCTTCTTCACAAGGTGGCAAGAAGGAGAAGTGCCAAGGGAAGAGGGAAGAGCCCCATATAAAACCACGAGATCTCTTGAGAACTCACTGTCTATCATGAGAACAGCATGGGGGAAACCAGCCCCATGATTCAGTTACTTCCACCTGGTCTCACCCTTGACATATGGGGATTATGGGGATTATAATTCAGGATGAGATTTGGGTGGTAACAGAAGGCCTAATCATATCAATCTTGCTCTGTCACCCAGGATAGAGTGCAGTGACATGATCACAACTCACTACGGCCTCAACCTCCCACACTCAACTGATGTACCCACCTCAGCCTTGCAAGTAGCTGGGACTACAGGCACATGCCACCATGCTGGGCTAACTTACTATTTTTTGTAGAGGCAGAGTTTCACTATGTTACCCAGGCTGGTCTTGAACTCCTGGGCTCAAGCCCAAGAGTCTGTCTGGAGCCCAGGAGTTCAAGACCAGCCTATGCAACATAGTAAGACCCTGTCTATGTTGAGACTGTCTAAATCCTCCTGCCTCAGCCTCCAAAAGTGCTGAGATTACAGGAGTGAAAAATGGCTATTATTAAAAATGAAAAAAAAAATAGATGTTGGTGAGGATGCAGAGAAAAGAGGATGCTTATACACTGTTGGTGGGGATGTAAATTAGTACAACTTCTGTGAAAAACAGTATGGAGATGTCTCCAAGAACTAAAAATAGAACTACCATTCAACCCAACATCCCACTACTGAGTATCTACCCACAAGAAAAGAAATGATTATATCAAAATCTACCTGCACTCATGTTTATAGCAGCACTATTCACAATAACAAATATGTGGAACCAACCTAAGTGTCCATCAACGGATGGTTGAATAAAGAAGATGGTACATATATACCATGGAATACTACTCATCCATAAAAATACATGTAATCATGTTTTTTGCAACAACATGGATGGAACTGGAGGCTATTATCTTAAATGAAGTAACTCAGAAACAGAAAGCCAAATATCTCATGTTCTCACTAGTAAGTGGGAGCTAAATAATATGTACACATGGACATAGAGAGAGGAATAACAGATATTGGAGACTTGGAAAGGTAGGAGGGTGGAAGTGGAGGGTGAAGGATGAGAAATTGCCTAATGAGTATAATGTACACTATTAGGATAATGGGACCATTAAAAGCCCAGACTTCATCACTCTGCAGTATATCCATGTAACAAATCGGCACTTGTGCTGGCCCGGTGGCTCACACCTGTAGTCCCAGCACTTTGGGAGGCCAAGGTGTGAGGATCCCTTGAGCCCAGAGGTTCAAGACCTGCTGGGCAACATAGGGAGACCCAGTCTCTACAATTTTTTTTTTTTTTTTTTTTTTAACAATTAGCTGTGTGTGGTGATGTGCACTTGTGGTCTCACCTACTCAAGAGGCCAAGGTGAGAGGATTGCTTGAGCCTGGGAGCTCGAAGTTACTGTAAGCCCTGCACTCCAGCACTGCACTCCAGCCTGGCAACAGGGCAAGATCCTGTCTCAAAAAAACCAACCAACCAACCAAAGAAACAAGCAAAAATTCACTTGTACTCTCTAAGTCTATAAAAATTTAAAATAATAAGAGGGAAGTTGATCTATGAAAAACCAAGCATATAAGTATTAAATTAATAAAAGTCATTTGATAGCATTAATGTAAACCTTAATTTTGAATACCAAATTTAATATTGCTCCTCATCTTTTGATTTCTAAACTGTGTTGAGATATTAAAGAGAGACAAATGAATAACTACTATCTTAGCTCCACAAGTTTCCTAGTAGAATTGGAGTCTGCTGAAGTCATCTGCATTGCACATTCATTAGGTATTTTATATATTTGATTTTTTTTAATTATTTTTATTTGGAGGCAGGGTCTCTTTATGTTGCCCAGGTTGGACTCGAATTTCTGGGCTCAAACAATCCTACCACCTCAGCATCCCAAGTAGCTGGGACTACTGGTACATGCCACCTGAGTAGCTGGGATTACAGGCATGCGCCACCATGCCCAGCTAATTTTTGTATTTTCAGTAGAGACAGGATTTCGCCATATTGGCCAGGCTGGTCTCAGACTCCTGGCCTCAAGTGATTTGCCTGGGTGTGGTGATATATTAGTATATTTAATATTAAATAAAAACTGTACAGTTCTTAGCAGAAGAAGCTTTGTACACTTTCCTAATTTCCACTTATCATTCTTTTTTTGTTGTTTTTCTTGAGACAGAGTCTTGCTCTGTCGCCCAGGCTGAAGTACAGTGGCACGATCTTGGCTCACTGCAACCTCCGCCTCCCGGGTTCAAGAGATTCTCCTGCCTCAGCCTCCCCAGTAGCTGGGATTACAGGCACGCACCACCACGCCTGGCTAATTTTTGTATTCTTAGTAGAGATGGGATTTCACCATGTTGGCCAGGCTGGTCTCAAACTCTTGACCTCGTGATCCACCCACCTCGGCCTCCCAAAGTGCTGGGATTACAGGTGTGAACCACCGTGCCCAGTGCTCCACCTGTCATTCTTGACCATTTTTTCATAAACTCAGACACTGGTTTGGGCTCTTGATGACTTATAGATGGTAAAAGGTTGACATTGTGGAAGACAGTGTGGTGATTCCTCGAAGACAGAAATACCATTCGACCTAGCAATCCCATTATTGGGTGTATACACAAAGGAATATAAATCATTCTGTTATAAAGACACATGCATGTGTCTTTATTGCATGTGTCTTGCAATAAACTGCCTGAACAGTTCATTGCAGCACTGTTCACAATAGCAAAGAACTGGACTCAACCTAAGTGCCCATCAATGATAGACTGGATAAAGAAAGTGTGGTACATATATGCCATGGAATACTAGGCAGCCATACAAAAGAATGAGGTCATGTCCTTTGCAGGGACATAGTTGGAGCTGGAAGCCATTATCCTTAGCAAACTAACTCAGGAACAGAAAATCCATACTGCATGTTCTCACTTATAAGTGGGAGCTAAATGATGAGAACATGTGTACACACAGAGGGGACCAACACACACTGGGGCCTATGAAAGGGTGGAGGGTGGGAAGGAGGCACAGGATCAGGAAAAGTAACTAATGGGTACTAGGCTTAATTCCTGAGTGATAAAATAATCTGTTCAACAAATCTCCATGACATGAGTTTAGCTATGTAACAAACCTGCACATGTAACCCCAAACTTAAAAGTTTTAAGAAAAAGAGAACTGGGGGGCAAGGGGAGGGAGAGCATTAGGACAAATACCTAATGCATATGGGGCTTAAAACCAGATGACCGGTTGATAGGTGCAGTAAACCACCATGACACATGTATACCTATGTAACAAACCTGCACATTCTGCCCATGTATCCCAGAACTTAAATTAAAAAAAAAAAAAAACAAAGAGAGAACTGTCACAAGCAAAAGTATATCACAAGCAAAAATATGTTTTTCTTGAAGACCGACAAGCTCAAATAGACCTCTGTGAATTCTTTCTGTAAGTGAACTTTTAAAAAGGGAAGGTTTAGGAATGGAAGAGAAAAAAGAAAAGAAGACACCACTTTCTCAATTAGGAGGAACCCTAAGGCCATCTACTACTTACCCATAAAGTAAGGAAGGTTTATAGAAAAAAACCCAGTGAGGAAAAGCCAGGTGCAATACCACATGCATTCAAGGAACTTTAAAGAGTGCTTCTCAAAGAAAAGGGTCAGAGTGTGCCTTTGGGGCAGGTAGGAGGATGAAAGAATTTTATCGCAGTCACTGCAGGCTGTGGCATAAACTGAAAAAGGTTGAGAAAGTACTGCTTTAACCTTTTCACTAGTGACATAAAAAACTCCAGCCCCCAGCATTGTTACCTACTTTTGTTATCAGTAGGTATCCTCTTTTGGAGGCGAAGTGAGGCAAGAAACGCCTTGAGTTCCCTCAAGTGTAAAGCCAATAGCTTTTATTTTGTCCTCCTGTTAACCCACATGAATTTAACACTCCAACCATGGGATGTTGCTGTTCCATTCAAATGAGATCACAGAGTATTAGAAATACCCTAACTGGGCCAGGCACTGTGGCTCATGCCTGTAATCCCCAGCACTTTGAGGGGCCAAGGCAGGCGGATTGCCTGAACTCAGGGGTTCAAGACCAAACTGCACAAAGTGGGGAAACTCTGTCTCTACAAAAAATACAAAAATTAGCCAGATATGGTGGTGTTCCCCTATAATCACAGCTACTTAGGGGGCTGAGGTGTGAGGATCACTTGAGCCCAGGAGGTGGAGTTTGCAGTGATCCATGTTCACACCATTGCAGTCCAGCCTGGGTGACAAAGTGAGACCCTGTCTCAAAGAGAAAAAAAAAAGAAATGCCCTAACTGATTGTAATCCTTACCACAGCTGCTTTGCATCATCCAGAGATGGGCCATGTAGCCCGCTCAAGGCATGGTGTTTCCTCTAGACACATCAGAAATAGGATAGGACAATATTTTAACCGAAATGACATATGACAACTCAAAACTATGTATGTGGCCAACTGGGAGCTAGCCTCTTAGAATGATCCAAAAACTGTTTAATTTGGTTAGCACTTTTGATAAATAAATACTGAATTTGAATGCCCTTAGACTATAGACATGCTTACTCTGATTTGCAAAAGCCAACTACCTCTTCTAGATTCTATTATTCGCTACTTTATTTCCCTGTCTCTGAACTCCCCAATACACCTTGTAATGTTTACTTTTAGATGTCAACTTGACTGGATTACTGAATACACAGAAACCTGGTAAAGCATTATTTTGGGGTGTGTCTGTGAGGGTGTTTACAGAAGCGATTAGCATGTGAGTGTGAATGGACTAGGTGAGGAAGACCCTCCCTCAACGTGGGTGGGCACCATCCAATTTGCCAGGGCTGGAGAACAAAAACAGAGGACAGACAAATATGTCCATCTATTTCCTAGAGCTGGGATGCATTCTTCCTCTCCTATCCTTGGACATCAGAACTCCAGGCTCCGGCCTTTGGACTCCAGGGCTTAACACCAGCAGCTCCCAGATTCTCAGGCGTTCAGCCTCCAACTGAGAGTTACACCATTGGCTTTCCTGATTTTGAGGCCTTCAGACTTGGTTTAAGCCATGCTACCAGCATCCCAGAGCATCCAGTTTGCAGATGGCCTATTGGGAGACTTCCCACCCTCCACAATTATGTGAGCCAATTCTCCTAATAAATCCCCTGTCATATGTCTATGTACATATCCTATTATATCTGTCTTTCTGATAACTCTAATACACATCGTCTACATATATTTGTGCAACTTACCTGTCCCCTACAAGTATTTGGGCTTGCTACTTCCTTTGTAGCCTGCATTAGGCAAATGCTCCTTCTATTTCTATCCTTATTTTATTTTGCTTTTCTTTTTTTAAATTTTTTACTCTTTCTGGCATGTGCCTCTAGATGTGATTCTTTCCTTATTTTAAAGTATGCTCAGGCCAGGCACGGTGGCTCACACCTGTAATCCCAGCACTTTGGGAGGCCGAGGTGGGTGGATCACCTGAGGTCAGGAGTTCGAAACCAGCCTGACCAACATAATGAAACGTCATCTCTACTAAAAATACACAACTAGCTGGGTGTGGTGGCACATGCCTGTAGCCCCAGCTACTTGGGAGGCTGAGGCAGGAGAATCACTTGAACCCAGGAGGCGGAGGTTGCAATGAGCCAAGATCATGCCGTTGCAGTCCAGCCTGGGTGACAAGAGTGAAACTCCATCTCAAAAATAAATAAATAAATAAAAATAAAGTATGCTCAGCTATGCATTGCCCGGCAAACTTACCACACTATAATACAGTAATTATAGCTAACATTTATACAGCTATTATGTGCTAAACACAATTCTGTGTTTTCTATATATCAGTTCGTGTAATCCTCACAACTAATTTATGGATAGGTATAATTATTTTTTCTACTTTTAAGAGAAGACAAGAGGTTAAGAGACTTGCCCATAGAGGAAGTAGTATTAAAACCCAGATGGTCTGACTCCAAAATCCACCTCTCAACCACTATAGAATAGAATGAGCCCTTGAGGTCTGCACCACATAATGTAAGTTATTTTCTGTATACACCTTATACATTTTAACAATACAAATCTTTTCCCAATATCAAGCCAATTCTCTGTTCCTACAGAGAAATCAAAGCTCTAATATCAGATTCAGTGTCTCAGGCTCTCTTGCATGTCTCCCTCCTGTTTACCTGCAACCATGCACATTTTCTTTTAAATCCATGCATTCCCACTGTTGGGACTAACTCAGGGCCATGTTTCAGCCCGAGTCTTTTCCTCTAAGGTATATTCTAGGTCATCTTCCACTAAATATGAGTTCAATAATATATGAACAGAGGCCACTATGAGCTACTTTAATCCCAGCAGAACCCTAGCTTTCTTTGCTCCAAGTTCTTCCAGCACTGTGCATACAGGGGCTCATTGAGAAGGATATTATCTCTGCAGAGTCTCGTTCCCCAAATCTCACCTTTCTTCAGCGTCGAAATCACAAAACCTTGGTTAAAGTTGTTCTTCTCAGGGTGATGCAGGCATTCTTTTCTGCCACCTATTTTCCTGTTCCAGGAGGAATTTGCCTATTTTCTCTAGCATTGAATATTATTCCTTCAGCCCTGGCTGAGGAATAGGATGAAGAAGAAAGTTGATCTTGGAGTGGAGAACACAGAGCAATCCAGCAGTACTTGGTATTTTTAAGTCAGAAGTTTACATACTGAGGCTCTGTCTTGAGCCAGACACCCTAGAACTGAATCCCCGTCTTCACCAAGACAATGGTCTACTTACTGGATCCCATACTTGTGCATTAGCCTTGCTCTTCTTGTGGGGATTTATCCATAAATAGGACAACAGCCCTTAAAGTTTAAGATTCTTTAGTGATCTTACGTCCTAAACCTTAGCTGTGTATATATGCTTTGATCAGTTTAACTACACCAGATGTTGGTGATCAGAATTCCAAATTCTGCTTTTTAAAAATTTTTTAAATTTTTTGAGACAGGGTTTTGCTCTGTTGCCCAGGCTGGAGTGCAGTGGCACAATCATGGCTCACCACAGCCTTGACCTCTTGGGCTCAAGTGATCCTCCCATCTCTGCCTCCCAAGTAGCTGGGGCTATAGGCACATATCAGCACACTGGACTAAATTTTTATTTTTTGTAGAGACAGGGTCTCACTATATTGCTTAGGCTGGTCTTGAACTCCTGGGCTTAAGCAGCCATCCGACTTCAGCCTCCCAGTGTGCTGGGATTCCAGGCATGAGCCACCGCAGCTGGCTAGAATTCCAACTTCTGAGTCATATGCTGCTAGGTTGGGCTTTGGACTCCAATTCTAATGTAGTCTACTCGTGATTCAATCAGGACTTTGTGGGTCCCCAAGGATTTCTCTTGTTTAGGTCAGAGGCAGACTGAAAGACTGTTCACCAAGAACTATACCCTAAATTCAGATCCGGAAATCCTATGACTTGAATGGAGTGAGGGGAACGTAAAGATGAATACAAGGAAAAATGAATCATAGGCATGAAAGGCATTTCTCAAAGAGGCCTAAATCTGAACTCATGTAAAACATAATCTCCTAAACTTTCCTAGGTCTGTAGTTGTGTTTTTGGAGTTAGTTTGGGGCATGAAAGCTGTATCAGAAGGATACACAGCATCCAAGCACTATGTTCATCTTACAACATCAGCCATATTGGAGATTGGCACTCCAAAAATGGAGACTTGGCCGGGCGTGGTGGCTCACACCTGTAATCCCAGAACTTTGGGAGGCTGGGGCAGGCGGATCACCGAGGTCAGGAGTTCGAGACCATCCTGACCAACATGGTGAAACCCTGTCTCTATTAAAAATACAAAAATTAGTTGGGCGTGGTGTTGCGCGCCTATAGTCTCAGCTAACTGGGAGGCTGAGGCAGAAGAATTGCCTGAACCCGGGAGGCAGAGGTTTCAGTGAGCTGAGATTGCGCCACTGCACTCCAGCCTGGGTGACAGAGCAAGACTCCATCTCAAAAAAAAAAAAAAAAAAAAATGCAGACTTAAGGGATGCTAGGCCACTGCTGGAGCTTTAAAGTTGGTCAGCCACCCCAAAAGTGTCTCAGTGTCTCCTAGCAAAGAAAAAATTAGGGAGAAGTCCAGGATAACTTCTGAATGCCTTGTAAGATGGGGGTACCAAAACCCCAGACAAACAATGTAAGAGAGAATGTGATGATTTCAGTTTTGGTTTGTAGTTGTCTGTAATATTCAGGAATAGATGTCTAGCAGGTGGTTGGATATACTGGTCTGAAATCAAATTACAGAGAGTTCTGGGATAGGGATAAAGATTTGTGAGGCAGAAGCCAAAAAGGTAGTAACTGAAAGCTTGAGATGATCTTTAGATCTTCTGCAACCCTATTATTCTATAATTATTGCTTTTCATGTTGATGACAAATTTAATTTTTGCCTACCAGTTGAGTGCATAATGTTTTAAATGGGCAGAAATAAGTGCCACTCTTCTTTTGTATCTTCTGTGACATAATGCATCGATTCTGTATTTAACTGTTCTATGTGAGGATACTCTTTTAAAGAATGTTAATTGGTGCAGAAAAGGAAAAGGAGTGGAGTACTGTTGAAGATTCTGATGTGAAGCTCCTCAGCAGCACCTCTCATTTTCAGGCAGATGTTTTACTTTGACTTTTAATGTCTTTGGTTAGGAATATTTCTCATAATGGAATGGAGAATATATTCATCATAATATTTGAAATTCCTGTTGAAAAATTAAAATTTCTTATTCCCTTTCAGAGCTACTATGTTATGATATCTCAAACTAATATTTGAGACTCCTTGGCTTGATAACTATGATTCCATTGAAGATGACTATTGAGGTAATCAACTCTTTAACAATTCTCAAACTTTAGTATACATGTCAGTCAGCTGGGTACTTACTAAAAATATGGATTCACACCTATTCTCCATCCCTAGTTTTGTTTAGTAAGTCTAGGAAAAGGCCAACATATTTGCATTTTAATAAACACTTGTACCTGTGATTACCTGATTACACATTGAGAAATAATATTTATTTCTTAGTATTACCCTAGAAATTCCAGGAGAAGTGTAGAATAGGATTTCTTAAAACCTGAGATCCAAACATCCCAAAGGAGCCTGTGAATAAAATTTAAAGTGTTCACGAACTTGGGTGGGGTAAAATACATCTTTATTTTCAGTAACTCCTAATTAAACCTAACATTAAAAAAATTGTAAATGTAGACAACAAAGCACAGTATTAACTTTGTCATCAGCAGAAAACACTGAAATTTTTATATTGCATTGGAGTTGCTGCAAATATCTTGAAGTGTTGTTTATAACCATCACTACTTAAAAATTATGGTAGTTACCAGACTGCCATTAGATTTCATTTAATTTAATAAAGAAGCATATGTATTACTCTAAAATTAAATTTGAAAACATTTTGAAAACTGTGTCTTGATAAAATTGGTTTCTTTCATAATCCTACATATTTCTAAAAGCATTTACAAATTATTACAAGAATAGTCCATAGGCTTTGCTAAAATATTTAAAAGCTCGATGGCACTAGAAGGTTAAGAATCTTAGTGTAGGAAAGAATAGTTCCTTATTAAGACATTAGGGAGGTATATTACTTAATTCCATGGGGAAAATCACAAATACTTATAGATCAGATGAGATTTTTGACTCAGTCTCCATTTCCCCTTTCCTGATGAATTTTTCACTTTTCAATATCTCTTCTCATGGACTACATATCTTCCCCGATTTGTTTACTCCTCCTCAACAGTTGAATGGCTCTGTTTTCCATCAACGATGACAGCTTTTAATCACAGATCTCAAGCCCATTATGAACATTAATTAATGTCTGACATCGCTTAATGAGGTAGGTAAAAACTATTACTGTTTCATAGATGGGAAAATCAGGTTTAGGCAAGTTTGGTGGCTTGTTCTTAGGCAACCCAAGAAATTGTGGCTCATTTCCAAAATCCAATGCTTATTCTCCTCACAGGCAAATGATGTTTTTTTTTCTTTCACAGTATACCAATCTGTTGCAAAACCTATTTTGCAAAAAATAGATTATTGATATAGGCGTGGAAATAATCTTTCTTAAGGCAGAAACATTTGATGGTATCAATATTCATACTGCTTCAACCCAACAATGTATTGGTTGGGTTTTCTCTGAAAAATAATAGATGTCTTGGTTGGAGGGAAAAAGCCCCTGCTCAAATAAACCATTAAAACCACTATCCATTGTTTTGAATACAATAAAAGTCGATTTTAAAAGAAGAGAAAAAACCCACTACCCATTTTGAAATAAAGCAGTTAGTTTCTTCTTGTATTTAGAAACTCTACCCAGTAAGAGTCGGAGAGGAACAAAGTGAACATTAGTTATCAAAATGCATTGACTTACCTTTTGCTCTTAAGACACCACACACAGTCGGTAAGTACTTTTGTCTTTTTGTGGTAACTTTGTTTTCTATGGACTCATGTTGCTTTGATCAATGGTATTTGTGTGCCTCGTCTTAATCTAACTTTTTTGTTGTTTGACCAGTCCATCTGGCTTGACAGGCTAATGTGAAAAATTTGAAAATTGTTTGTGATTTGTCTTTTTAAATAGCATTTGCTCTTCTCTTGTTGTTTTGCTAAATCCTCACTTGCCTGGCAAATAAGGCAAACAGAAGGAATATGATTTGGAATAGTTGAATAAATAAATATTTGAGAGAGAAAGGAAAGCTTATTTTTTATAGAAAAATCCAATTAATATATGAGAAAAGAATGAGGAAACTTTAAAATTTCCAATAGACAAACACAATTGTTGCAGGTAAAATATGTGGAAGGATTCTAAAATCAGTGGGAAAAAGTTTGAGGAAAAATAAGATATTTGCATAGTCTCAAATTATTACCCCTAACATACTTATTAATAATGGGAAAAGAGGGATAATTACATGGAGAAATTTGGCAGATACCACCATGTCTCCTGATATTCTCTAAAATTAGTAGGCCTTAAATAAATATATTAACTTTTCTCTCAAGCCATCTCTTCCTGCTCTATATTCGATTTTCATTTAAATTATTAACAATTAGCCAATTTCTTGAGCTAGAATTATCAGAATAACCTTTGACCTCTCTTTCAAGACCTACTGTCCCTTCCTTCCTTCCCATAACTATTTGCCAGATTCTCTATTAGTCACTGAGAGCACTATTGTGAAAGAGCAGACATGGCCAGTTAATACTCATGGAGTTTACAACATAGTGGGGAATATACATAAGAAACATAATACATAAATAAAATAATTACAACATGTAAGAGATGCCATAAAGAAAATATAGAGGGTAATATGGTAGAAATTTACTGAGATAAAAATATTGAAGAAGGCTAATTCAGCTAAGCCTTCTGAAGCTGAGACCTGAAAGATGAGAAAGTTATGTCAAATGCTGCTAAGAAGTCCAACAATTAGCAACATTAAAATCTTTTGCTCTGAAAAAGACACTGGTAGAAAATGAAGACAAACCTACAGACTGGAAGAAAACATTTAAAGTCACACTTCTGACCAAAAAAACCACCAGCAGCCCCACCACCACCACCAACAACAACAACAAGAACCTGTGTTCAGAATATATAAAGAATGCTCAAAATTCAACAATTAAAAAAACAAAAATATAAACAAATCAACTCAAAAAGATATGTTGATGGTAAATAAGCATATGAAAAGATATGGTACTCATTATGGAAATGCAAAGTATGATCACAATGAAATGCCCAAAATACCTATGAGAATAGAGAAAAATTCCTGATATTACCAAATGTTGGTGAGGATGTGGATCAACTGGAATCCTCATATTTTGCTGTCATAGCCACTTTGAAAAACAATTTGACAACCTCGTTGATTTAAGCAGATTTAAACGATACTTACCATCATATATTCTATCATGTAAGAACATACTTTTCATAATGCAGGAGTCTGACTCTCAGATATTTACCCAAGATTTATGAAAGGTTATGTTCACACTGAAATCTGTACATGAATGTTTATTGCAGTTTTATTTGTAGTTGTCAAAACCTGGAAACAATTCAAACTTGAATAAATGAATTAGCAATTTGTGGTATATCTATACATTGGAACTCTTCTTAGCAATAAAATATGGGAAATATGATGGATTCATGTAGCAACATGAATGAATCTCAAATATATTTTGTGAAAGTGAAAGAAGATAGAAGCAAAAAAATTTATATTGTATGATTTTACATATTTAACATTCTAAACAAGTCAAAAATATTAAGATGGGAGACAAATCAGTGGTTGCCACGAGTAGGGTAGAGATGGAGGCTCACCATAAAGAGGAAGCAGGAAGGAATTTGGGGAGTGATGAAACTATTTTTTTTTTTTTGAGATGGAGTCTTGCTCTGTTGCCCAGGCTGGAGTGCAGCAGCATGATCTCAGCTCACTGCAACCTCCGCCCTCCTGGATTCAAGCGATTCTCCTGTCTCAGCCTCCTGAGCAGCTGGGATTACAAGTGCAGGACACCACTCCCAGCTAATTTTTGTAGACATGGGGTTTCACCATGTTGGCCAGGCTGGTCTCGAACTCCAGACCTTAAGTGATCTGCCCATCTCGGCCTCCAAAAGTGCTGGGATTACAGGTGAGAGCCACTGTGCCCAGCCTGATGAAACTGTTTGGTATATGACCGTGATGATGCTCTATGAATTTGTCAAAATTCATAGAAATATGAATTATAATAAGTGAGTTTATATAAATTTTAAATCTAAAATTTTTTAAAAGTTAAGCAAAATAAGAATTGAGAAAAGACTTTTCGAGTTTTTCATTATGCATTTCATGGGTGACTGAGCAGTTTTGATGAAGTGGGGCTAATTGAATCCAAATTGCATTATGTTTAAGAGGAAGTGAAGTAAGTAAATGGAAACATGTATGTGGACTTTTCTAGAAGTTTGGCTATAAAGGGGAGAAGGGAGGTAGATGGATGAGAATGTGAGCTTCTAATAAATTTTAATTTTTTGGGATGAGACCAATTAGAAATAAAACTAATAAAAATGTGCAAGACCTCTACTGAGAACATTACAAAATTTAATAGAAGATATAAAATTTCCAAATAAGTAGATGCATCATGTTCACTGATGAGATGACTTAATGCTACAAAAATCTAATTGTTCCCTTAATTAATTTATAAATCCAAACAATCTCAATAAAAATGCTAATGTGTGTGTGTGTATATGCATGTGTGTACTTTGCCAAATGGATTCCAAAATTCATTAGGACAAGCAAATGTATAAGAATGGCCAAAATAATCTTTGACAATATTAGGAATTACTTTATCAGTTTTGAGGACACATTATAAAGCTATATTAATAGAAACACTGTGGAACTGGTTCAGGAATAGACATCCGATTTTGAGATAGGAGCAAGGTTGTCTCCTTGAGGAACAATTCTACAATTCTACCAATAGAGTATACTGTAAGTTTTCCACTTTGCCTTCCTGAAAGTCACTAGAGGCTGTTTGATAGGTTATCTGTGTACTGGAAAGAGGGTAACATCCAGATTTTTCTGGGATTACTGGGACAGACTTAGAGTTGATGCTAATTCGTGGAGAATTCAAATGGTCTTTGACCAAATAGTCAGAGTGGGGATTTATAGATGTTAGAAGTTATATGGAGCTTTGGTCTAATTTCTTCTCACAGTGGGCCCTATGGTAATTCTCTTTATTTCTGAATTTGTAGTTCCCAAGAAAACACTTGAAAACCAACAGACTCTTCAAACTGGGTCCATTGCCTGTAGAATGATGGCTAACATGAAAAGGGCCAAGTAGAAACCACTAGAATTACTCTGATCAACCGAAATGTTAAATCAAAAGCAATAGTGCATCAATGAGGAGGTCTGTGGAGATTAATGTCACCATGAAAGTCTTGAGGGATGCAAGAGTGTTGATTTAGCTTGTCATGATGGTAGTGGGCTTTTGGAGAGTGATAGAGGATTTTCATAAACTTTTTTTTTTTTTTTTTTTTAGATAGAGTCTTGCCCTGTTGCCCAGGCTGGAGTGCCGTGGCTTGATATTGGCTGTCTGCAACCTCCGCCTCCCGGGTTCAAGTGATTCTCCTGCCTCAGCCTCCCAAGTAGCTGGGATTACAGGTGAGCGCCACCACACCTGGCTAATTTTTCTATTTTTAGTAGAGATGGGGTTTCACCATGTTGGCCAGGCTGGTCTTGAACTCCTGACCTCAAGTGACCAGCCTGCCTTGGCCTCCCAAAGTGCTGGGATTACAGGCATGAGCCACCGTGCCTGGCCAACTTTCATAAACTTAATCAGGTGGTGACAGGAAATACTACTGCTTTTATGTATGTAGTCTCTTTACTGGATCAAAACAACAAAATCTCTGATACCTAGTATGCAGCTATTGCTCTGGCAAATGCTTTATTCACTCTATTCCAACCAAGAAGCAATTTGCTGTCACATGATTAAGACAAAAAAAAATTCACTGTTAACTTTCAGCTCTGTGGCGGCTCTCTGTCATAATCCAGGCTACATAATCTATGAAATCATACTTATAGATCTATTGGGAAACTTTAGTAAGACACATTTGTGCTGGGGGAGGAGATAAATCCCATGAAAACTTATTGGGTTCCCAAGGTCCCTGGGGTTCGAGATATACTGAGATCTCTCCTCCAAAGTAAAAGTTAACTTGATGTATCTCCCACCCACTAGCATTAAACAAGTGGGTACTTTGTGGATCTGGAGTCAACATATGTCTAATTTGTGTGATTTGCTTTGCCCATTTACTGAGTTTCGAATGGAGCTCAGAGCAAAAGAAGACTCTGAAGCTGGTCCAGGTTACAGTACAAGTTATTTTACCATTTAGGCCATATGAATCAGCAGGTCTGTGACTTTTAGGGCTGTTCCATGGAGCTACTGGCAAATCCCCATAAAGAATGACAATCTATGCTTGTAAGATTTTAAGACAAAGTAATGTAGATATTCATTCACCTTTTTAGAAATGGCATCTTTCTTGCCACTCATTTCTGGTAGAGATTGAATATCTGACCATGGGACATCAAATGACCAGGCAATCTGAGATGAGTGTCATGAACTGGATGTATCTGATCCCCAAAGCTCTAAAGTTGGACATCAACAGCAAAACCCCATTATAAAGTGATAGTGGTGTGAGATTGAGCTCAAAGAGGTACTGAATATGTGATTTGCATGAATTGAGGTTTAGACTCTCATGACACCTACTGTTATTGCATTGCTGCCTGTCCTTCAACTCACTCTTCTGACCTCATGGGGAGTTCCCCCTGACTGAGGAAGAAAAAAATTCAGGCCTGGTTTACATATGATTCTGAGTGATATGCTGACACAGATAGAAGTGAATTGATGCATAATTATGGCCCAACTCAGAGGTGGTCTGGAATGATAGTAAGGAAATGAAATACTTCTACTGAGCAGGACTTCAAGCAGTATATCCGTCTGCTTGCCCACTCCACCTGGAAGGAGAGATGGCCAAAAATATGGATCATATTGACAGTGGCTAGTGATTGTCACTGGAAATTCAATGACTTGAAAGATACACAACTGGAGGAATGAAGATAAGGAGATCTGGGCAAAAGGTATTTGTATGTGCCCCCAGAATAAGGACAGAATATGAGTATTTGTCTCATGTGAATTCCTACCAAAGGTCACTGACTGAAGAGTCTTGCAGTTACCAGCTAGACAAGAAGACCCATTGTATGCATAACATTCAGCTTCTAGCTGCATCTACAAGTGCTTCCTCAAGGGCTTATGAACAAAGTGGCCTTGACAGCAGGAATGGAGATTACACATGGGTTCAACAACATGAACTTACTCTCATCAAGGCTGATCTGATTAATGCCACTGCTGAGTGCTTGCCTGGCCAGTAGCCTAGCTGAGCCTCTGAAAGAGCAGGATTCCCCGGGGAGACCAGTTACCAATCTGTTGGCAGGTTGATTTTCTTGAATATACTGTCACTTTGGATAAATTTGGCTTTAAAATTTGTGTTATTTGTCTGAAATGTCTGTCAGCATCACCATCAATTAACCTATGAATATTTCATTCACTATCATGGTATTACACATAATAGTGTTTCTCCAAGTATGATCCATGAAACCATAGGGATCTCCAAGACCCTTTCAGGGGATCTATAAGGCCAGAACAATTTTTAAAACAGAACTAAGACATTACTTGCCATTTTCTTTGTGTTTACATTTATACTGATAATGCAAAAGCAATGCTGGGTCAAACCTCTGTCTCCTTAGCACAAATCAAGGCAGGGGCACCAAACTGTACTGAGTTATAAGATTCTTGGCCACTGGGGACTCAGAAAAAAATGTAGTTTCACATCAAGAATATAGTGATGAGGTAGTAAAAATGATTACTTAGTAATTTTTTTTTTTGAGATGGAATCTTGCTCTGTTGCCCAGGCTGGACCCTAATTCCTGGGCTCAAGGGATCCTCCTGTCTCAGCTTCCCAAGTAGCTGGGACTACAAGTAAATGCTACCATGCCCAACTAATTTGATTAAATATTAACCCTTTAGTACATGGCTTCTAAATATTCTGTGTGGCAAATAAGTCATTCATATAGCACTTTTGCTGCGTACAAAAATACAATATTTGTCTTGTGGAAAAGCATTTGTGTGATGAAGTTGTGGGCCAAACTAGCTGATTTTTTTCATGGGGCACTATTTTTACTTGAAAGAACAATTGACAGACAAATTAGGATTATTCAGACTTGGATATTTGGCAGACATTTTCTCAAAAATGAATGCAGTAAGACTGTCATCTCAAGGAAAACAACTGACAGTATTTTGTTATCAATAAAAAAAAAATGTAAGCTTTCAACTAAGAGTTAGTGTTTTAGAAAACCATCCAGTACTCTGAGCATGAAAACTTCACAATTAAGATGTTAAAAATAATGTTAATGTGATATTAGTGATTGTCATTTTATTTTATTGTACAATGAAATGTGTCACTACTTGGAAGGTCTGAATAACTCAGTAATGCAATATTTTCCAAATGTTCAAAGCATGATGTTACAAAATCATGAAAGTTTCATTTAAAGTGCAAGTTAGGCCAATAGTTTTAATGTAACACAGTATATTGAATAACAAATTTAAATAAAAGGCAAAAGACAAATTGAGAAAACTATTTCAACACATATTAACACTGTCAGAAATAGCACTTTATATTATTTTAATAAGTATAATAGATCATTGAGTTATTTCTACTTGTTCGGGTATAGAAATGAAATAGTTTTTTTTTTTTAATTATTGTTTGAAAATGTGCTGTGTCGAAATTTCTTTTTCATCCCTTAGCACACTCTTGGGCAGATTCCAAAATCTTCTGGTTATTTTTTATTTTATTTTATTTTATTTTTCGACTTGGAGTTTTGCTCTTGTTGCCCAGGCTGGAGTACAGTGGCATGATCTGGGCTCACTGCAACCTCCACCTTCCGGTTTCCAGCAATTCTCCTGCCTCAGCCTCCTGAGTAGCTAGGATTACAGGTGCCTGCCACCATGCCCAGCTAATTTTTGTATTTTTAGTAGAGACGGGTTTCACCATGTTGGCCAGGCTGGTCTTGAACTCCTGGCCTTGTAATCCGCTCGCCTTGGCCTCCCAAAGTGCTGGGATTACAGGCATGAGCCACCGCGCCTGGGCTGGTTTTTTTTTTAATTAAATGTGTCCTGCATAGTTTCAAACCACCAGGTCATGTCTTCATTCCTAGTACTACCAAAAGCTGTGTTTCTGGCTACTGGGAGTGACTTCAAGAAATGGGTAGAGGGATTAGAAAAATGCTACAAAAATAGTTCTTGAATAGCCAAAATAACTACTCTCTGAATTGTATTCTTCCTACTTCTTAGCAGTGTGCTTTGTATGGAGTGGAAGATGGGGGTGGGAAGATGCTGTAGGGCTATTTTGTAAACCTTGAGGGTAGAGAAAACTCTCTGTTCACAAATTTGATGGCATTTTTATGTCTTTCTTTAGCATGTAGGATACTTGGCACCTCTGGACTTCAGCTTAAGTCTAAGCCTAGATTGAAGAGAGTAGAAAAGTCTACCTAACACCCTATTCTATAAGAAAAATACTAATACTACAATAGAAAAATGACAAAAGATCCTAAGCAGAAAATCCACAAAAATACAAATCACTAATAAACATTTGCAATCTTAGGAAATCCAAAATATTGTTGGACCAGTTGATATGGTTTGGCTGTGTCCCCACCCATATCTCATCTTGAATTCCCACATGTTGTGGGAGGGAAACAGTGGGAGGTAATTGAATCAAGAGGGCAGGTCTTTCCTGTGCCATTCTTGTGATAGTGAGTAAGTCTCATGAGATCTGATGGTTATTATAAGGGGGTGTTTTCCTGCACAAGCTCTCTTTGCCTGCTTCCATCCATGTAAGACGTGACTTGCTCCCCCTTCCACCATGATTTTGAGGCCTCCCCAGCCATGTGGAACTGTGAGTCCAATAAACTTCTTTCTTTTGTAAATCGCCCAGTATCTGGTATGCCTTTATCAGCAGCACGAAAACAGACAAATACACCAGTATGACAATTTTATATATCATACTGCCATTAAAATTTATAATATCAAGGCTGGGTGCGGTGGCTCACGCCTGTAATCTCAGCACTTTGGGAGGCCGAGGCGGCAGATCAGCTGAGGTCAGGAGTTCAAGACCAGACTGGCCAACATGGTGAAACCCCATCTCTACTAAAAATACAAAAATTAGCTGGGTGTGGTGGCGTGCCCCTGTAGTTCCAGCTACCTGGGAGGCTGAGGTGGGAGAATCGCTTGAACCCAGGAGGTGGAGGTTGCGGTGAGCTGAGATCATGCCATTGCACTCCAGCCTGGGTGACAGAGCAAGACCTTATCTCAAAAAAAAAATACATAATACTAAAATGTTTCAAGCTTATGGGTGATAGGCACTTTTCATACACTGCTGATGGATTTCAAATAAGAATAACCAGTTATGAGGAACAATTTGGGGACCCATGTCAAGAACCTGTGTCAATACAAATATATTCATACTCTTTGACCTACTAATTCCTTTTCCAAAAATTTACTCAAGAAAATAATCTTAGATACTGTATTAGTCAGTTTTGCATTGCTATAAAAAAAAACCTGAGATTGGGTAATTTATAAAGAGAAGGGGTTTAATTGGTTCACAGTTCTTCAGACCATACAAGAAGCATGATACAAGCATCTGCTTTTGGTGAGCCTCAGGTAGCTTACAATCATGACTGAAGTTGAAGGGGTAGCCACCATCTCACATGGTGACAGTGGGAGCAAGAAAGTAGGGGAGGTACCACATGCTTTTAAACAACCAAATATAAAATTAACTGAACATGGTGGCACACACCTGTAGTCCCAGCTACTTGGGAGGCTGAAGCACGAGAATTGCTTGAATCAGGGAGGTGGAGGCTGCAGTGAGCCAAGATTGTGTCACTGCACTCCAGCCTGTGTGACTCCATCTCAAAAACAAACAAACAAAAAAACAACAATAGCCAAATCTCACGAGAACTCATTCACTATTGTGAGGACAGCACAAAGCTATAAGATTAACAACCATGACCCAAACACCTCCATCCCGGCCTGATCTCCAACACTAGGGATTAAATTTTAACATGAGACTTGGAAGGGAAAACTATGCAAACCATATTATTCCACCCTGGCACCCCAAATCTCATGTGCTTCTCACATTTCAAAACACAATTATCCCTTCTCCCAAAATGACATTGGTCCTCCGAAGTCTCAACTCACTTCAGCCCCAACTCAAAAGTCCCAAAGCCCAAAGTCTTATCTGGAGATGAGTTATGTCCACCTATGAGCCTGTGAAATCAAAGACAAATAATTTACTTGCAAGATACAATGGGGGTAGAGGCATTGGATAAACATTGCCTTCCAAAAGGGAGAAACTGGTCAAAAGAAAGGGGCATCAGAGCCCATGCAGATCTGAAACTCAGCAGAATAGTCATTAAATCTTAAAGCTCCAAAATAATCTCCTTTCACTCCATGAACTGCATCCAGAGCACACTGGTGCAAGGAGTGGTCTCCCAAGCCTTTTGGCAGCTCCACCCCTGTGCCTCTGCAGGCTGCAGTCCCCACAACTGCTCTCAAAGGCTGGAGTTGAGAGATTGTGTCTTTTCCAGGTGCCAGGGCACAAGCTACACAAGTGGCTCTACCATTCTAAGGTCTAGAGGATAGTGGCCCCCTTCCCACGGCTCCACTAGGCAGTCCCCAGTGGGGACTCTGTGTGGGCTCTGACCCCACATTTCTCCTTTGCACTGCCCTAGTAAATTTCTCTGTGTGGGGCCCCACATTGTGGCAGGCTTCTGCCAGGCACTCTGGCTTTCCAATACATCGCTTTCCAATATATCGCTGAAATCCAGGGGGAAGTTGCTAAGCATCTTTCACGTTTACGCTGTTTACCTGCAGGCTTAAAACCACATGGAGGCTGGCAAAACTTATGGCTTGCACCCTCTGGAGTGGTGGACCGAGCTGTATTTGGGGCCCTTTGAGCAGAGATTGGAGCTGAAGTTGCCTAGATGCAGGGAGCTGTGTCCCCAGGCTGCATAGTGTCCTTGTGGCCTGTGATGGGAGGAGCTGCCTTAAAGGTCTCTGAAATGCCTTCAAGGCCTTTTTTCCATTGTCTTGCAGATTAGCACTTGGCTCACCTTCAGTCATGCTAATTTCTTTAGCAAGTGGTTGCTCCACAGCCACTTGGATTCTTCCCCTGAAAATGGGCTTTTTTTTTTTTCCTACTACATGGTTAGGCTACAAATTTTCCAAACTTTTATGCTCTGCTTCCCATTCATATTAATATAATTTCCAACTTTAAGCCATTTCTTTGCTCCTCTATCTGAACATAGGTTGGTAGAAGCAGTCAGGCCACACTGTGAATGCTTTGTTACTTAGAAATTTTGTCTCACACGTCCGTGTGAAGAGACCACCAAACAGGCTTTGTGTGAGCAACAAGGCTGTTTATTTCACCTGGGTGCAGGCAGGCTGAGTCTGAAAAGAGAGTCAGCAAAGGGTGGTGGATTATCATTAGTTCTTATAGATTTTGGGATAGGCAGTGGAATTAGGAGCAATGTTTTGAGGGCAGGGGATGGATCTCACAAAGTACATTCTCAAGGGTGGGGAGAATTACAAAGAACCTTCTTAAGGATGGGGGAGATGACAAAGTACATTGATCAGTTAGGGTGGGGCAGAAACAAATCACAATGGTGGAATGTCATCAGTTAAGGCTATTTTCACTTCTTTTGTGGATCTTCAGTTGCTTCAGGCCATCTGGATGTATTCGTGCAGGTCACAGGGGATATGACAGCTTAGCTGTGCTCAGAGGCCTGACATTCCTGCCTTCCTATATTCATAAGAAAAATAAAATGAAATAGTGGTAAAGTGTTGAGGCGGCGAAAATTTTTGGGAGTGGTATGAAGAGATAATAGGCAATGTTTCTCAGGGCTGCTGCAAGCAGAACTAGGGGTGACGTGGGAACCTAGAGTGGGAAAGATTAAGCTGAAGGAAGATTTTGTGGTAAGGGGTGATATTGCAGGGTTGTTAGAAGAAGCATTTGTCATATAGAATTATTGGTGATGGCCTAGATGTGGTTTTGTATGAATTGAGAAACTAAACGAAAGACACAAGGTCTGAATAAAAGAAGCAGAAAAATAGGTATTAAAGGACTAAGAATTGGGAGTACTGGGAGTACCCAGGACATCCAATTAGAGAGTGTCCAGGGGAGTTCAACATTATTGTTTGCTTGGTTGGTGAGTTTTTGGGCTCTATCCTTGAGTTTTTTTATGTTGTCATATACCAGGCCAGATTGATTTAGGTAAAAACAACACTCTTCATTTAAAAATATACAGAGTCCTCTTTTTTTTAGCAGTGAGTAAGTCAAGGCCTTGGAGATTTTGGAGGAAAGAGAAATGCAAAGCCAGCAACTGTTTGTTAAAGAAGGATTAGAAATGGGTAGGAGAGAGTGAGATTGATAGTGTGGTGGAGATAGCTGGGGAGAGGTAGAGGGTAGCATAAGAAAGGGAACCAGAATAAGAGTGAGTATAAAAGTAAAGAATAGGACTTCATCAGGGTGAAAGTATTGGAGGGTACCTTGCCACTGAAGATCTTCTATCCACTTCAAGAGAGACTTAAGAGTGGCGATTTGAGGTAAAACCAGGAGCCACTAAATACCAAGAGCCTAAGAAACTGCTTGGGTGATTTGACTAATAAAGGCCGGTCCGTTATCAGACTGTATAGAGGTGGGAAGGCCAAACTGAGGAATTATATCTGACAGAAGGGAAGAAATGACCGCGGTGGCCTTCTCAGACCCTGCGGGAAAGGCCTCTACCCACCCAGTGAAAGTGTCTACCCAGACCGAGAGTATTTTAGTTTCCTGACTTGAGGCATGTGAGTAAAGTCAATTAGACAGTCCTGGGCAGGGGCAAATCCCCGAGCTTGATGTGTAGGGAAGGGAAGCAGCTCGAACAATCCCTGAGGAGTAGTAGAATAGCAGATGGAACAACTGAGAAGTGATTTCCTTGAGGATAGATTTCCATGATGGAAAGGAAATGAGAGGTTCTAAGAGGCAGGCTAGCGGCTTGTAACCTACATGGAAGAGGTTATGAAATGATGACAGAATAGAATGGGCCTGTGAGGCTGGAAGGAGATATTTTCCTTGGTCCAAGAACCATTTGCCTTGTGTGGGAAGAGATTGATAGGTGGAAATTTCAGCGGGGTAGTAGGTGGGAGTGGCCAGATGAGGAGAAAAACTGCCACGAGGGATAGAAGTTGGAATGCTAGCTGCTTTTTAGCTACCTTATAGCATTGCCCTGAGCAATGGGATCTAATGCCTTTTGATGGGCCTTGCAGTGAATGACTCCAGCTTCCTTTGGAAGTAAAGTGGCCTTGAGAAGAGTTTTTATTAAAGAGGCATTAATGATGGAGGACCCTTGCATAGTGAGGAAATTTCTTTCTGCCCATATAACAGCATGGTGGTGCAGGATATGGAAGGCACATTTAGAGTCAGTATAAATATTGGCACGTAATTCCTTTGCAAGAGTGAGGGCTCGAGTTGAGGCAATGAGTTTGGCTTGCTGAGAGGTATTGGAGGGGGGCAGAGCAGTAACCTGAATGATAGATGTGGAAGATACTATAGCATAGCCTGCCTTTTCTGGTATGTGGCGATTAGGCCTGGTGGAACTGCCATCAATAAGCCAAGTGTGATCTGGGTGAGGAACATGAAAGAAGGAAATACAGGGAAATGGAGTGAATGTCAGGTGGATCAGAGAGATACAGTCATGAGGGGTGGGGGCCAGCCTAAAACAGTAAGGTCAAATTGTTTGGACAGAAAGACTACAGGGCATGGTCCCGGCTCTTGTGTAAGAATTTTGACTGCGCAGCCCTGTACTTTGGCTGTGTGTAATGAAAAGGGTTGGGATGAGTTAGGGAGAGCCAGCGTGGGGGCCGCTTCTAGGGCTGTTTTTAAGTAACGGAAAGAGGAGTGGCAAAAGGATTTAGGATCTGTGGGGTCAGCTAGGTTTGCTTTTGTGAGTTTACATAATGGTTTAGTCAGGATGGTAAAACTAGGTACCCAAAGGTGGAAGTACCTAACCATGCCTAGGAAGGAAAGGAGTTGTTGTTTTGTAGAAGGGATTGGGGTTTGAGAGATTAGCTGGACACGATCAGCAGGGAGAGCACGTGTGTTTTCATGAGAATTATGCTGAGATAGGTAACAGACGAGGAAGAAATTTGGGCTTGACTGAAGTAATGGGGGCTGTCTGTGAAGCCTTGGGCAGTATGGCCCAGGTAATTTGCTGAGCCTGATGGGTGTCAGGGTCAGTCCAAGTGAAAGTGGAGAGAGGCTGCGATGAAGGGTATAAAGGAATAGTAAAGAAAGCATGTTTGAGATCCAGAACAGAATAATGGGTTGTGGAGGGAGGTATTGAGGATGGGAGAGTATATGGGTTTGGCACCACGGGGTGGATAGGCAAAACAATTTGGTTGATAAGGCACAGATCCTGAACTAACCTGTAAGACTTGTCCGGTTTTTCGACAGGTACAATGGGGGAATTTTAAGGAGAGTTTATAGGCTTTAAAAGGCCACGCTGTAACATACAAGTGATAACAGGCTTTAATCCTTTTAAAGCGTGCTGTGGGATGGGATGTTGGCACTGAGCGGGGTAAGGGTTATTAGGTTTTAATGGGATGGTAAGGGGTGCATGATTTGTCACCAAGGAGGGAGTAGAGGTATCCCATACTTGTGGGGGTTAAGGTGGAGAGATACGAGAGGAGGATGCGAAGGAGGCTTTGAACTGGGGCAAAAGGTGGCAATGAGGTGTGGCTGTAGCCTGGGAATATTTAGTTAAAATGTCTCGACCTAATAAGGGAGCTAAGCAGGTGGGGATAACTAAAAAAGAGTGCATAAAAGAATGTTGTCCAAGTTGGCACCAGAGTGAGGGAGTTTTTAAGGGGTTTAGAAGCCTGGCTGTCAATACCCACAAGAGTTATGGGGGCAAGGGAAACAGGCCCTTGAAAAGAAAGTAATGTGGAGTGGGTAGCCTCTGTATTGATTAAGAAGGGGACAGACTTACCCTCCACTGTAAGAGTTACCCAAAGCTTGGTGTCCGTGATGGTCTGGGGGCTTCTGAGGGGATCAGTCAGCATCAGTCTTCAGCAGCTAAGCCAAGTAGATCTGGGAAGGAGTCAGTCAGAGAGCCTTGGGCCAAAGTTCCAGGGGCTCTGGAAGTGACTGCCAGGTGAGTTGAACAGTCCGATTTTCAGTGGGGTCCCACACAGATGGGACACAGCTTGGGAGGAATCCTGGGCTGCGGGCATTCCTTGGCCCAGTGGCCAGATTTCTGGCACTTGAAGGGAACTCCTGGGGGAGGAGCTTCTGGAGGAACCCCTGGCAGCTGCAGTTCAGGCATTTGGAGTTCTTGTGTGCTGGAGATGTGCTTGGGGTTTTTCTCACAGTGGAGGCAAGGAATTGCAACTCAGAAATACATTGCTACTTGGCTGCCTCTACTCTATTACTGTACACCTTGAAGGCGAGGTTGATTAAGTCCTGTTGTGGGGTTTGAGGGCCGGAATCTAATTTTTTGGAGCTTTTTCTAATGTCGGGAGCAGACTGGGTAATAAAGTGCATATTGAGAATAAGACGGCCTTCCTCTGGGTCTAGGACCATAAAGCATCTAAGGGTTGTTGCCAAACAGGCCATGAACTGGGCTGGGTTTTTATATTTGATGAAAAAGAGCCTAAATGCTAACTGATTTGGGAGACGTCAGATAAAGAAAAAAGGAGCATTAACCTTGACTATGCCTTTAGCTCCAGCCACCTCTTTAAGGGGAAATTGTTGGGCAGGTGGGGGAGGGCTAGTCGAGGAAAGAAACTGTAAGCCAGACCAGGTGTGGGGAGGGGAGGTAATAGAAGGATTATAGGGTAGGGGAGCAGAGGCTGAAGAAGAGCTGGAGCCTGATTCAGCCTGGCGGGGAGAAACCTGAGGTGGAGCAGTCTGGGGAGGAGGTAAGAGGTCAGATAGGTCAGTAGAAAAGGAAGATTCACAGGATTCAGAGCTTGGGGTGGAGACTGAAGGAACAGACAGGAGAGAAAGAAGAAAGATTTGGGACAAGTCGCATTGGGAGCAGAGACTAGGGAGGGACCAATGTGTAAAAGAATGCCTGGGGACGTCAGGCACCTCAGACAATTTGCCCATTTTTTTGACAAAAATTATCTAGATCTTGTAGGATGGAGAAATTAAAAGTGCTATTTTCTGGCCATTTAGAACCATTATTGAGTTTGTATTGGGGCCAAGTGGTATTGCAGAAGAAAATAAGGCATGTAAGTTTTAGGTCAGGTGAGAGTTGAAGAGGTTTTAAGCTCTTGAGAACACAGGCTTAGGGAGAAGAAAGGGGAATGGAGGGCAGAAGTTTGCCCATAGTAAAGGAGGTAAGTTTAAAAAGAAAGGTACAGACATGGAGAGAATGGGTGGAGACATGGGGAGAAGGGGTGGGGGGTGCTTGCCTCCCAGGAAAGGGGAGAAGGGGTGGAGACACGGAGAGAAGGGGTGGGGACACGGAGAGAAGGGGTGGGGGGTGCTTGCCCCCCAGGAAAGTGGAGAAGGGGTAGAGACACGGACAGAAGGGGTCGGGGGGTGCTTGCCCCCCAGAAAAGTGGTGCTTGCTGCTAAAGGTGAAAGACCAAGGAAGGCATCCCCACATGGTCAGACACCTCTGAAACATGGGTGAATAATCAGGCAGGCATCCCTGCAATGATTAAATAGCAAGGGAAGGCTGCCTTCCCGGGTCACACTGGAGTTTTGGGTCCACAGATAAAATGTGTCTCCTTTGTCTCTACCAGAAAATGAAAGGAATTGAAATTAAGAGAAGGGAGAGACTGAAGGGTGGTGCCAAGACTGAAAGGAGAAAGAGGTTGAGGGATAGTGAGAGAGGTTGGAGAAGAGAGTAAAAAGAGGCCGCTTACCTGATTTAAAATCGGTGAGATGTTCCTTGGGCTGGTTGGTCTGAGGACCCAAGGTCATAGGTGGATTTCCTCACGGAGTGAGGGTGAGGACAGGGGACTGGTCTCCTGAAGGAGTCTCACTGACCTGGGTCTTCGGCACCAAGTGTCTCATGTGTCCATGTGAAGAGACCACCAAACAGGCTTTGTGTGAGCAACAAGGCTGTTTATTTCACCTGGGTGCAGGCGGGCTGAGTCTGAAAAGAGAGTCAGCAAAGGGTGGTGGATTATCATTAGTTCCTATAGGTTTTGGGATAGGCAGCAGAGTTAGGAGCAATATTTTGCTGGCAGGGGGTGGATCTCACAAAGTACATTCTCAAGGGTGGGGAGAATTACAAAGAACCTTCTTAAGGGTGGGGGAGATGACAAAGTACATTGATCAGTTAGGGTGGGGCAGAAACAAATCACAATGGTGGAATGTCATCAGTTAAGGCTATTTTCACTTCTTTTGTGGATCTTCAGTTGCTTCAGGCCATCTGGATGTATACGTGCAGGTCACAAGGGATATGATGACTTAGCTTGGGTTCAGAGGCCTGACAAATTTCTTCTGCCAGATACCCTAAGTCATCACTCTTAAGTTCAAACTTCCACAGATCCCTAGGGCATGAACACAATGCAGCAAAGTTCTTTGATAAGGAGTAACATGGGTTACCTTTATTCCAGTTCCAAATAAATTCCTTATTTTCATCTGAGATCTTGTTAGCTTGGCCTTCACTGTTTATATTTCTATCAGCATTTTGGTTATAACTACTCTGTAAGTCTCTAAGAAGTTCCAAACTTTCCCTTGTCTTCTTGTCTTCTGAGATCTTCAACCTCTCCTGTTACCCAGTTTCAAAGCCACTTTCACATTTTCAGGTATCTTTAAAGCAACACCATATTTTTTATTTTTATTTTTATTTTTAGACAGAGTCTCACTCTGTCACCCAGGCTGGAGTGCAGTGGCATGATCTCAGCTCACTGCAACCTCCGCCTCCCGGTCTCAAGCAATCATCCTGCCTTAACTCCCCTGTAATAGCTGGGATTACAGGCACCTACCACCACACCTGGCTAATTTTTGTATTTTTGGTAGAGATGGGGTTTCACCATGTTGGCCAGGCTGGTCTTGAACCCCTGACCTCAGGTGATCCACTCATCTTGGCCTCCCAAAATGTTGGGATTACAGGTGTAAGCCACTGCACCCAGCCAACACTCTAGTTTTGGTACCAATTTTCTTTATTAGTTTTGTATTGCTATAAAAATTTACCTGAGACTCGGTAATTTATAAAGAAAAGAAGTTTAATTGATTCACTGTACACTACAGACCATACAAGAAGCATGGTGCTAGTATCTGCTTCTGGTGAGGTCCTCAGGAAGCTTACAATCATTGTGAAAGGGAAAGGGGTACTGGCATCTCATGGTGAGAGTGGGAGCAAGAAAGAGGTTGGGGAGGTGCCACATACTTTTAAACAACCATATTTTCATTATAACTCACTTACTATCATGAGTACAGTACATGGCATGACGGGTCCACCCCCATGACCCAAACACATCTCACCAGGCCCCACCTCTAACATTGGGCATTGTATTTCAACATGACATTTGGAGGGACAAATATCCAAACCATATCAGATACTATCAAGGATATATGAGCAAAGATAATCTTCATGAAATTATGAGAGTAAAGATTACAACCGTTTAAATAACCATAGAGAACCGTTAAATAAATTATGGTGTACCTATATGAATAAAATGTTATATAACCAATAAAATGCTTTTGAATAATTGGTTAATATATAACTTTCTCAGAGTACAATATATTTTAAATGAATAAAGTGGAACAAAATATTGAATGCATACTATGATTTCAATATTATTTATTAATGCATAAACATACAAAAGTAGAGAAAATGTTTCTATGATGATATATTAAATCGATAAAGTGGAATATAAGATTGAATGAATAGATTGTTTGCTTTTTAAACCTCATAACATATAAAGATGATTGGGAGAAAAATGCTGTACCATCATATTTATTATTTATATAATTAAGATTCATTAAAATTAGATCATCTTTCTAATAATGAAAGTCATTGGTGTTTTTTATGTTTTACTAGATTATTCAAGTGTATTTACCAATTAGGAGATAATAGCATAATGTCACTAAAAATATTTATTGAGTACTTACACTTATGTCATTGCTAACCTATTAAATATCAACAGATAAGACATATTCTCTGTTTAAAGCCTAGACTGAGGAAGAGAATATATACATACAAGGGTATGTATTGCTTTTTAAACCTCATAACCCACAGAATATAACAAATCATTAGTACTAAGAATACAAGAAATGATATAGGAGTTCAAATTTCAAGGAATAATTATTTTTACTTTTTATTCTTTTTTAAGATGTAGTCTCACTCTGTTGCCTAGGCTGGAGTGTAGTGGCTAGATCTCTGCTCACTGCTGCAACCTCTGCCTCCTGGGTTCAAGCGATTCTCCTGCCTCAGCCTCCTGAGTAGCTGGAATTACAGGCACCCACGACCACTCCCAGCTAATTTTTTTTTGTGTGTGTATTTTTTAGTAGAGACAAGGTTTCACCATGTTGGCCAGGCTGTTCTAGAATTCCTGACTTCAAGTGATCTGCCCATCTCGGCCTCCCAAAGTGCTGGGATTACAGGTGTGAGCCACCGTGCCTGGCCCAGTTTTTAAAAGAGACAGTGGCAACAGAGGAAAGTAAGATGTGACTGGGCTTCTAAAAATGAATAGAATTTTTTTTAAAGAGCAAAAAGGGGAGAAATAGAAGCAGAAGAAATAATATCAACAGAAGCTTAAAATGTGGCAGTTGTATTAGTTTCCTAAGTTTGCTGTAACAACAAAAAATACTGGAGAGCTAGGTGGCTTAAAACAGTAGAAAAGTATTATCTCACAGTTTAGAAATCAGAAATCAAGGTGTTGGCCGGGCCATGCTTCCTCCGAAAGCTTCAGAAGAATCCTTCCTTGCCTCTTCCTAGCTTCTGGGTTTGCTGGCAATCTGTGGCATTCCTTTGCTTGCAGATGCGTCACTTCAATCCTCCTTCTTCACATGATGTTCTCCCTGCCTTTACATCATCTTCCTTCTGTTCGTGTCTGTCTCTGTGTCCAAATTTCCACCTTAATGACCTCATTTTAACTTGGTTACCTCTGTGAAAACTCTATTTCCAAACATGGGAAGATTCTGAGGTATTAGGGGTTAGGACTTCAACGTACGTTTATTGCAGGATACAATTGAACCCATAATATTTTATTTTTACTTTTTTTTTTTTTTAGAGATGGGATTTTATTATCTTGGCCAGGCTGGTCTCAAAACTCCTGGCCTGAAGTGAACAGCGTGCCTTGGCTTCCCAAAGTGCTGGGATTATAGGCATGAACCACTGCACCTGGCCAGAAACTTCTTATATAGCAATGATTTGAGAGTAATAGGATTAAGTTTAGAGTGAGCTACTAGGGTGGGGCATAAAGAACTTTGAATACTAGGCTGAGGAAATTAATTTTAAAAAATACAGGTAGGTGATGAAGAGCCACTGAAAATGTTCAAGAAGTAGGACTGAACTCGTGCAACTCCCTTACTCTCTTGGCAAGCTCTCACTGAAGTAACTGGAAAGCTTTATCTTTGGTTTTGTTTGTTTTTGGTAATGAAAACGTTAACTTCACTTTTAAACAGGTAAGATATGAGGAATACATGGGAGGTAGAAAGCAAATGGTGTCAAAAAGACAGAGAAAGAACACAGGAAGCAGCAGCATGGAATGGTGGAGGGAAGCCCTGCTCTCTCTAGAAGTTCTGGGCTGAATCCATACAAAACAAAACAACACAACAACAAAAAACTGGGTCATGGAGAAATCTGCAACGTTTTATGTATAAAAGGTGCCAAAAATTTCCATGAACTGGAAAGTCTATTCAAAATTTACACTGAAGACATTGTCCAGTGACTGTAACTGTGGTGACTCATCACATAAAACCTATAATGAGCTTCCTTTTCACAGACCACATGTTGGGCACTTATCCTTGATATATGGCTTTAGTATGACATCATTCTCATTTAAGAACAACTTTATTTCTGGAAAACTGTACTCTGTACAAATTATCTGTTGCCATTTTGCATGAAATCAGTGCAAAAGCCTCTCATCATAATACTAAATGCCTTCTTAAAGTTTCTGTCAGGGGCCAGGCATGGTGGCACCTGCCTGTAGTCACAGCTACTTGGGAGGCTGAGGTGAGAGGATCACTTGAGCCCAGGAGTTCCAGGCAGCAGTGAGCTATGATCATGCCACTCCACTCCAGTCTGCATGACAGAATGAGACCCTGTTTCTATAAAGAAAAACAAAGACAAAACAAAAACTCTATCAGTGCAAATCCAACCTAATTACTTAATTATATTTCCAAAGTTTGAATTCTGGAGGCAAGCACACACTTGACAGGGCAAGGTACAGAGCTTTTATAGAGGCTTGACCCTTCTCCCACATGAAATAATCAGGATTCCTGCTCTCTGCATTCATCTCTGAAGCAGTCACAGGAAGGGGACTTTGGAAAGTCAACTAGTTTTATAACTAAATCTCATTTAGATGTAGTACTTTATATATTTTTAGTGACTGGAAATACCTTATTTTTGTCTAAAAAATTTCAGAGTATTATTATTAAGTGTTTAGAAACAGGGTCTTGCTATGTTGTCAAAACTGTATTCGAACTCCTGGTCTCAAGCAATCCTTCCTCCTCAGCCCCCCAGATAGGTGGGATTACAGGTGCATGGCACGACACTCTGCTAAACATTTCAGATTTATTAGACAAGTTACAAAATATTGAGAGAAAAATACAATAAGCAAATTTTCTGATTGTGATTAATTGCTGAGATCTTATATAAGCAGGAAAACTGCTTCATATATCTCTATTCTTTGCAATGGTAATTATTTCCCTGTAGCTAAGTTTATTACAAGAAAGGAAGACGTATTCAGATACATATTTATTTGGCTGTCTGTCAGTAGGGGAAGAAGGTAAATCTGTATGAATGATGATTTAGTCTAACTTTCATATCTGCTTTCAAATTTTAATTGAACCTGAATCTAACTGTCCTCCCTCACCTCCTCCATCCTTCCCTTCAACTGAAAGCTTGAGGATAATAAATATAACTCTCTTTGTACTCCAAAGAGATAATTTCAAATTCATGGAGAAAATGGGTTAAATGGCAGGTCAGCATGGAAGAGATTAGTACATGGCTAATACCCTATGATGGTGGGACTCAGATCCAGACCAGATGTATTTCTATAAGTAATTGTGTAGAAAAAAGTCTCAGAGACGTTTTAATAGTTGGGTTCATTTATGGCAATTTAATTATTCTCTAGGTTGGCCTGGTTAATCTAGGAGCAAATCTCTTATATGGTTCAATCTAGAGTAGATCTAATCACCCTTTATTTAAAAACTATTTCTTTTATTTTTTAGTAGAGATGAGGTCTTGCTATGTTGCCCAGGCTGCTCACTCCTAGCCCAAATGATCCTCCCTCCTCAGCCTCCCAAAGTGCTGGGATTACAGGCATGAGGCACCACACCTGGCTTTCTAATCTACTCTTAAATAGCAGGATTTGCAGAACTTTCCCTCTTAAGTAGCATACTAAATGTTATTAAGAAAATAAAATCTAAAGTGGTGTTTTTTTCCCCACTGTGAATTGAAAAGGGAAGAGTAAAGCATCTCCTTTCCCCAAACAAGAGAGGAGTGGCCAGCAATTTGTTTTTAAAGGCCTGAGTTAGAACTTCTCTTTCCGCGTCTGGTTAGACAGGAGAAAAGTAAACTGGATTATCTCAGAGGAAGAAAGCACCAAAACTGGATTTTGGAGTTGAACAGATAAATGTGGCTTATCTCCACCAGGTAGCTTCCCAGTGGTGTGGTGACTGAGGGTGCACATTACCCCTTGTGGAGCCAAGGGTGTAGGAGGAAGGACTCTTCCAGAAAGTGCATGGATGCTGTAGCTTTGAGAATCATGGTGAAAGCTTCCAGTGCTCATAATTGCCATGAAGGAAATGGGCTGCTGGTCTTCTATGAACATCACAGGTTTAGAAGATGATAAAGCACAGACTAGAGTCCTTCTCCAAGTTATCAGGGCAGCATTCATCCACCCCAGGGAGACCCTTCTCTCTTGCCTCCCCATGATAACTAATATCTGCTGTTTTTAATTCCATAGTGAGTGTGGGCATAACTCCAAATTTAATTTGATATAAGGAAATAAAGGAATGTGATGCTTTCTGTACCTGAATATATAGAAGGTATTTGCTTTCTAGAAGGTCAGGGCCAAGGTTATTGCTAAAATTAGATTCACAACCAGAGTCATCCTCAAGATTCTCAAAATGTTACTCTGGCATGTTTGTGCCAGAGACATAAAGTTATTCAATGTTGTATTAAGTTTGTGGATATAACCCGATAAATTCCAGGAGGATGGGTGACCAGAAGAGCCTTAAATTTGTTACTCATGAACTATGTTAACATATCTTTCTTTCATATTCACTCAATATTCTGTCTATCTATTCTACTTCTTGTTTCATTTGTTTTCTCTTTTATTATTAATTTATCTTCAGCCTGGCTGAAAATTCAAATATCTGAAGCCAGTAAGGTAATATAGATTAGTAAATGGGGCTGCATTGGAAAATGATGAATAGCAACTGGCTCTTGGCTTCAGTGTCAGGGATGAATATGAGATTGTGTGTGTGTGTGGAGGAAGGACAATATTGACTGCATATACCTTGCCTAAGGAAAGTAGTCACTATTCAGCTGTGGAAAGTGGATCCAGAGTTGATACATTTCAGATTTTTCAAGAGAAGTTGGAAATCCTTTTCTTTAAAAAATGAAATACTCTGTATTTAAAATATTGTCAATTCAAATAAAAACTGTAGAAACACTGTATTCCACCTACAGACTGGATAAATTCAAATGGTGTTGTGTGGGGAAATAGAAACTCTCATATATTGCTGGTGGGAATGTGAGTTGGGAATAACTCTATGGAGAGCATTTTGGCAATGCATGTCAAAAATAAATGTATACATATTACATATTCTTCAACTCAGCAATTCTATGTCTCTACATTTACCCTATAAATAGGCTTGCACTTGCAAAATCATATGTGCATAAGGATAGTCATTGCAACACATATCTAATGCTAAAATATTGTAAACGACCTAAATGTCCATGAAAAAGGAACTGGTTAAATAACCTATGGTACTGATACATGTTGGTACATACTGACGTATGGTAATGATGATGGAATGTTATGTAGCCATTGGGATGAATGGAGATAGCGCTATATTTACTAACATAACAAATATTAATAAGAAAAGCAAGATGTAGAATAAATAGTTTGTATTGTACACTACCATTTCTCTTTTTATTTTTATATTCAGAGATGGGTTCTTGCTATGTTGCCCAGGCTGGAGTATGATAGCTATTCACAGGCATGATCACAGTATGCAACAGCCTCAGCCTCAAACTTCTGGCCTCAAATGATCCTTTTTCCTCAGCCTAATAGCGGGGTCTACAGGCTAATGCCACTGTGTCCAGCTTGTTGTCTACATTTTTTAAAGAGCAACTATGTATTTTACCTTAAATAACAAATATATATTAATATATATTTTTATATACACACAAAGATGTGTGCATTTATATATTAATATACACATCTTTGTGTATATTTGTGCCAGGATTTAGCACAGTGTCTTCTAAGTAGTTACTCAATAAATGTTCTTAACTGAGTAGATGTACTTTTCCTCATGTTTTGCTACTCTCATTCCATTTTAATTAATTAATTGATTAACTAATTTTTTTTAGAGACAGGATCTCACTCTGTCACCCATGTTGGAGTACAGTGGCCCGATCATAGCTCACTGAAGCCTTGAACTCCTGGGCTCAAGCAATCCTCCTATCTCAGCCTCCTGTGTGGCTGGGATTACAGGTATGCTACCATGCCCAACTAAGTTTTTAAATTTTTTGTAGAGACAGAGCCTCACTATGTTGCCCAGGCTGGCCTCACACTTTTGGCTTCAAGTGATCCTCCCATCTGGACCTCCCTGAGCACTGGGATCATAGGCATGGCCACTGTGCCTGGCCACAATTTTCTTTTATTCTTGTGTTTCCTATACCACAGCCCCAGTCTTCTCCTGGGTCTCTGGTTCTCACCCATCTACTCTCTTCCTGCTACCATCTAAAATAAGAACCTGCATATGTCATTTTGAGTCTAGGCAAAATTGTGACCCCTGCTTTGGCATCTGATAGACACAAATGAGTTCAATTTCTGGCTGTCACTTACAGGTGGTGTAAACCTTTCCCAACTTCTGAACCTCAGTTTTCCCTTTCGTAAGATAGAGAGAATGCCTACTTGGGCCGGGCGCGGTGGCTTACACTGTAATCCCGGCACTTAGGGAAGCCGAGGTGGGCAGATCACCTGAGGTCAGGAGTTCAAGACCAGACTGGCCAACATGGTGAAACCCTCTCTATGAAAAATACAAAAATTAGCTAGGTGTGGTGGCACGCACCTGTAATCCCAGCTACTCGGGAGGCTGAGGTAGGAGAATCACTTTAACCTGGGAGAAGGAGGTTGCAGTGAGCAGAGATGGTGACACTGCACTCCAGCCTGAGAGACAGAGCCAGACTCCATTTCAGAAAAAGAATGCCTACTTGGTAGAATTATTGTGAGACTTAAAAATACATACATACATATATGTGTATATATTTATATATGTATATATAAAGTCTCACAATAATTAAGTGCCTTAAAATATTAAGTGTCTTAAAAAACGTATCCAGTCCAGAGCTTATACATGCAAATGAGCAATGAGCAATAATAGTTAATTTATTCTCAAAGAGATCAATACAGTTAATTCACTCTCAGAGGCTTAAGCAGTCACCTATCAAAATTGTTTGGATTCTTCCATCACAGTAGAGCATAAATAATTAATAATAGTACAAAGAGCATTTTTATTTTAGCAGAAGTTAAAGCATTAGGGTCAAAGGAATAAAGCTCAAATGAACAGAGTTTAAATATTAACTAAAAGAATTTGTTTGTTTTGGGGGGTGGAGCAGTTCAAGAGCGGCTTGGCCAGGGACTTGGAAACAGGAAGTAGCTCAGGAATTCCCTTAGTTGTAGCACTATGAGTCTGTTTAAGTTAAATATTGTTAATTAACGCCTTGCACCCCAAGGGAGAAAAGACAATATGGATTACAAGTGGATGTGTGTTAGCAAAACTACCTCTTGAGAATTTCCAAATTCTCTGAGGATTTCAGAATCTATCCTGAGGATAGAATCTTGAGAATTTCGTTATTTTGGGAAATCTCCCTTGCCGCCTCTGCTGACTACCAGCTGCTATCATTTTATATTTATTTATTACTGACTGATTGACTGAGACAGGATCTCACTCTGTTGCCCAGGCTAGAGTGAGTGGTGCAAACACAGCAGCCTCTACCCCATGGGCTCAGGTGATCCTTCCACCTCAGCCTCCCGAGTAGCTGGGACCACAGGCTTATGCCACCACTCTTGGCTAATTTTTAAAATTGTTACAGAGATGGGGTCTTATCATGTTGTCCAGGCTGGTCTTAAACTCCTGAACTCAGGTGATCCTCTCCCCTTGGCCTCCCAAAGTGCTGGAATTATAAGTGTGAGCCACTGCACCCATCCTGCTATCTTATTTATTTATTTATTTTGAGACAGAGTCTTCCTTTGTTACCCAGGCTGCAGGGCAGTGGCGCAATCTCGGCTCTCTGAAACCTCCTCCTCCCGGGTTCAAGCGATTCTTGTGCCACAGCCTCCCAAGTAGCTGTGATTACAAGTGCCTGCCACCATACTTGACTAATTTTTGTATTTTTATTAGAGATGGGATTTCACCATCTTGGCCAGGTTGTTTTCGTACTCCTGACCTCAAGCGATCTGCCTTCTGTGGCCACCCAAAGTGTTGGGATTACAGGTGTGAGCCACAGTGCCCAGCCCCATCCTATCTTTTAAATTATAGGCAAAATACATTTAAAGTGCATATCAAATGCAGCCCTGAGAGGGACAGAATATTCCAGAAGAGCCAGAGATGGCCTAAACTAACTGAAGGAGATACTACTCAGTATACATTGCATTGGTGAAAAGAGCTGAAGAGATGGAAGAATTTGTCACTGTGTATAATAAAAGACTTATTTTAGCGTAAACTGGTAGCCATAGGCTACAGAGCTAAAACTGTTCTAACAAGTTGCATTTTGTTGACCTTTCAAAATAAAATGCCCAGAGTACCCATCTTAATTCACTGTATCATACAAATGATTCTTGATTCATATATTGCAGTGTTGGAACAGGTTACTTTTAACAAAGCCTCCCAAGTCTGTGATTTGTAGAGTGCATAATTTTCTTCTAAGGTGATTAGAGCACTTTTTAGACATTGCCTAAGATAAGTCTTTGTACCAGTTTAAAAAGTCAGCAGTACTATAATTATAGTTTTCCAGGTGTGAAATATGAAGATTAAGCTATTGGGCCTGGGTCAGTGGCCCACACCTGTAATCCCAGCACGTTGGGAGGCTGACGGGGGCAGATCACTTGAGTGCAGGAGTTTGAGACCAGCCTGGCCAACATGGTGAAAACCTGTCTCCACTAAAAATACAAAAATTAGCTGGGCATGGTGGCACATGCCTGTAGTCCCAGCTACTTGGGACTTGAGAGGCTGAGACAGGAAAATTGCTTCACCCAGGAGGTGGAGGTTGAAGTGAGCCAAGATCCTGCCACTGCACTCCAGCCTGGGTGACAGAGCGAGACTCTGTCTCAAAAAAAAAAAAAAAAAACAAAAAAAAAACAAAAATGAAACAAAAAACAAAAACAAAAAAACAGTTTAGGCTATTGAAGCCTGAGTATGGATTATTTTAGCTTCCAGATTGCAATAAGCATCGTGTAAAGATGAAGATCTCCAAATACAGAGAATGCAAGCAGTGTGCCTGACTTTGCTTAGAAAGTGCTGACAGGAGCGAGGAGTTTCACTAGCATTTCCTGTCTCAGAAACAAGTTCTCCATTTGATATTCAATGACAGTAAAACAGGGATCAGAAACTGTTACTGTTTGTTCAAAAGCAGAAGCTAGAATCATTTCAAAGAAAGACAGTGCAAAATTAAAACTGAAACTCCACTTCTACCTCTCTGTAGAAGCAGTGGAGTGTATCTCCTAGGGGCTTCTACTCCCTTGCTGCCAGTGAAATTTATTAACCACAGAAGTGTCTTTCACTTATGTCCTAAATGAAGGTAGATCTTACTGTTTTTGATACTAACCAAGTCATCTTCTGGGTACCAAAAATAGTTTTTGTGGCTTTATGAAAAGTCTGGCCTTTCCACAGCATGTGTATCCATTGACCTCACTTCTGAGAGCTTTAGACTAATTTGGTAATTAGACTAATTTGCACCATTAATTAAAATGCTCTATGAAATAACCCAAATCCCAATGCAAAGAAGAGAACAGCATGGTATACAGATGTTTGTTTTTTTAAATTTAAAAACATTTTATAATCTTCTTGCATTCCAGAATCAGATTTTAAAAAATTAACCATCCCTAAAAAAACTCACAAAAACCACTTTTATCAGGAGGTTCTATTCATTCTTCATGACTGTGGTGGACCATCCATTATTTTAATACACTATCAAATTTCAAAGTTGGTGACAAAACAAGAAATAAAAATGGAGGGAATTCTTATGGCTTCATGGGTATTTAGTTAGGGAGTGTAATGTGGGGAAGCTGTCACACAGGAGGCAAAAAACTGCAAAGAGACTAAATATGTAAGGTATTTTTATAGCTTCCTCAGCCATTTTCTTTACCTAAAATGCCCTTTTCTTATTTCTTTTTTTAGACAGAGTCTCACTCTGTCACCCAGGCTAGAGTGCAGTGGCACGATCTTGGCTCATTGCAACCTCTGCCACCGGGGTTCAAGATTCTTGTGCCTCAGTCTTCCGAGTAGCTGGGACCACAGGTGCACGCCACCATGCATGACTAATTTTTTTGTATTGTTAGTAGCGATAGGATTTTGCCATGTTGACCAGGCTAGTCTCGAACTCCTGACCTCAGGTGATCTGCCTGCTTCAACCTCCCAAAGTGCTGGGATTACAGGCATGAGCCACTGCACCTGGTCCTCCTTTTCTTATTTCTAAGTGATATTCTCATTCATCAAGGCTCAATTCAAAAATTACTTCCTGTCAGAAATTCTTCTGTCTCTATCCTCAAACCTCACATTTGCTGCTTTCTTACTTTTGTTTCTGTAGTCATTTCTTAACAGATCATATGATTGATTTTTAGTTTTGTAGTTTTATCCTCTAATAGACTCTAAATTCCTTGAGAATATGAATCATTCATCCTTGCAATTCTTACAATATACATATTGTCTAGTATACAGTAGATAATTAAAGTTTGTTACAGGGTACCAATTTGGAATAAGGAGTTAGTAGCTGAAAATGACCTAAAATGCTCTCTACTTTCAAGTTATAAACCCACACATTCTTCTGTTTCTCTGTATATGTCTGTCACTGCTTAGCTGATACATGATCTAACACCCTATTAAGCCGTCTTCAAATGTCAGACTCCCATTTCTAACAATACTACACAATTGTATGTTATTTTAAACCTTTCAAACGTCTTTTACATAAATCACTTTATTTAGTTCTTACAGTAATTCTATAAAGTTTCTGGATGAGAAAACAGAAACAACAAGCATCAATGACTTTGGACTAAAGCTCAGGTCTTTTGAACCCTTGCTATAATTCCCTTTGGTCCAGAGCTTACAGTTTTTAAACTTTTTACTTTCAAATATTTTCAAACTTATAGAAAAGATGCAAGAATAGTGCAGAGATCACCCATATACTTCACACAGATTCACTAATGTTAACATTTTACCACATTTGATTTCTCTCTCCCACCCTGCCCCCATATATACAGGACCATTTGAAAGTGACTTGCAGATGTCATGCTCCTTTACTCCTAAATACGTCAGTGTGTATTTCTTAAGAACCAGCATATTCATCTATGTACTGTAGTAAAATGATCAAACCTAGGAAATTTGACATTGATATAATATTTGAATCAATACACCTAATACAAGTTTGCAAATTTTTCTAATCATGTCTTTTATGAATTATGACTTTTTTCTGGTTCAGAATTGAACAGGATCACACATAGCATTTACTTCTTAGATCTTTTTAGTCTTCTTTAATGTGGAAGTGTCCATTATTCAACCTACACTTGCGTTTTCTCTTCTTTTCTTTTCTTTTTTCTTTTTTTTTTTTTTGAGGTGGAGTCTTGCTGTGCCGCCCATGCTAGAGTGCACTCAGCCTCATGGGTTCAAGTGATTCTCCCCCCTTAGCCTCCCAAGTAGCTGGGATTGTAGGTGCCTGCCACCATGCCCAGCTAATTTTTTATTTGTAGTAGAGACGGGGGTTTCACCATGTTGGCCAGGCTGGTGTCAAGCTCCTGAACTCAAGTGATCTGCCCGCTTCGGCCTCCCAAAGTGCTGGGATTATAGGTGTGAGCCACTGTGCCAGGCCACACTTGGCTTTTCTTAATTTCTGCCCCATTGCTAACTCTACAGGGCAACTGGGGTGTCTGTGGTAGGTAACAGATCTGCCTCACACATTGTATACAAGAGGTTAATGTCATTAAGGCAAATCGTGACCTATCAGGGACAGACCCAGTGGATAAATGCCACCTTCTTCTGTCCCTTGTTTGCAGAATTCTGAGGCTCATTCTGTGTGGATCTTTAGAGGATTCTCAATGGATCATGATCTGTGGTCATGTTCAACTTGAGACCTTCTTCCCCTGATACTGCTTTCCTTTCTTCCCTATTTTACTCTCTCCAGTCCCTTCACTTCTTAAAACTTGGGATCATTTCCCAAAATAATCCCTTGCACATAAGCCCTTGTTTCATCTTTTTAAAAAGAGATCTATACTAATACAATTATACCTACTGTTAATAGAGTTAGTGGGTCCACAGTTAGTGGGTCAGGTAGGTGACAGATTAGAAGTGAGCATTACAAATAGAGGAATGCATCTTTCTTAGGTACTGACCTAAGTAGACCTTCTTTCTTAACCCCCAAACAAAGACACAGTACTGGTCACATTAATGCCAGTGTAGGCTCTGATAATGACATTGACACTTCTCTCCAGTCCATGTTTCTTCCCTTCCCCTTCCTTCTCCTCTTCTCTTTTTCTCTTCTCTTCTCTCTTTTCTTTCTTTTTTTGAGACAGGTCTCACTCTGTTGTCCAGGCTGAAGTGTAGTGGTGCAGTCATGGCTCAGTGCAGCCTCATCTTCCTGGGCTCAAGTGATCTTGCCACTTCAGCCTTCTGAGAAGCTGGGACTATGGGCATGTGCCACCGCGCCTGGCTAACTTTTAAATTTTTTGTAGAGATAGGGTCTTGCTATGTTGCCAGGGTCAGTCTCAGACTCCTGGGTTCCAGTGATCCTCCCACCCTGGCCTCCCAAAGTGCTGGGATTATAGGAATGAGCCACTGTGTCCAACCCATGTTTCTTCTCAGCCTACTTCCACACCAGTGCAGTGCCTTCCAATCTGTAATTCCTGAGAGTATTGCAAGAGAATGAAAAGGGCTTAGTGAAAGTGATTGCTCTGCTTAAACTGCATACATCTCTTCTTCCTGTTTCTCATCATACTGCCCTTTAATGCTACTTTTTCTTTCCACTAATGATTTTCCCTTTGTCCTTGCCCATTTCTCTCTGTCAGACAACTCATTTCCCTTTTGTCCTCTCTGATAGTAGAAAATTTGACTCTGTGTATGTATGTTTCCTAGAAGAAAGCAGAACCATGAGTAAACACCCAGTGAATAATTTGGGATGCTGATGAAATCAAGGAAGACTGGAAAAGCAACTTGTTGGGTGTGCTGTGGAGAGATTTCCTATAGTGGGCAGAAGGTTAGATAAAAGATTCTCTGAGGTGTCTTCTATCTCTGGGAATTTATGCTAGAAATGTCAACTTAATTAAGTTGCAGTGCCTGTCAACAATCCAAGGGCAAAAGTTTGCTCCAGATCTATAATCTAGCCTCATCATCTTAGGGGGAATGTGACCAAATATAGTATAACACTATCAGTATGAAAAGAATGAAATCCACACAGCCTGCATAATTATAGGTGCAGAGAAGAAGAAATTGATGACACAATATTAAGGTTTATTTTTGCCACCTAAAAACATGTCAACATCCTATTATCTTATTATCTCAGATTTTTATTCAATTCTATGACAGCTAAAAGTAACCATTATATCTGTCAATTAAAAGAAGAGAAACTGCTTATTGAAATTTTATAATTTGATCTATGACATGGAGTTGAACTGGAAGCACCTGCCAGTCTTCCTGATGTTCCAGATAGTATTTTGCTGCAAATTAATTAATCTAACTACATCTTGATTTTCTCACACTGCATTAGAAAGTATGTGCTCTTGGTCATAAACCGTGATGAAACTATAAGAACCATGTAATGAAACCTTATGGTTTGAGTTGTCTGGCTTGTCATAGAGATGAATATAGTGTAATTAAGCCACACTCTCTCCTTGCAGTAATGAAGGCACTGTTTGGGGGACTATGCCAGGGATAGGAGAATAAGTTGTCTATGGCACTCGAACGGTCTACACTATCCAAGTAAGGTAACCAGCTAAGGCACTTTCAAAGTAAAACCAAACAGAAAGTCACGGCAGATAATGCCACTTTCATCACTGGTAATTACTGGCCTTAGAGTTGTAATGAATGGCTGCTACAGAATAAAAGGTAGGTGGCAATTTATGCAACAGATCATTGTTCATCATCAGCAGTATGGGTGGCACTAAGCAACAGGCAGAATTATTTTTAAACCCGCGAGGTAAAGTAGATTAAAGGTATTATTAATAGGCTAGGCCTAAAGGAACAGTGTCTTAATTATGGACTCTTTTTCCTATCCTTTCTTAAAGATATTATATTTCTACAACTGATGAAGGACTAGATTAGGCTTAGGCTAGCAGTAGAGGGAACACTCATTGCTGCATTAAGATCAAAGAACCTTCCGAAATTTTGGTTGCTCCAAGTACCAGAATCAGCTGTCATTCTGTTGGAAGCAATAGGGAAAGGGTAGCTCACAACATTTTTTTAAAAAAGTATTTCTCAATCAGTCCACCATTTACTGGACTAGGCTACAGTGAACTGCATAATTTTATGGAATCTCGTTTTTCAGGGTATCTTGTTAACCAATGGGCTGACATTCTCTTTGCAGGAGCTCCACCAAGTGGTCATCCAGCTTGTGGGCGAAAGTCAGAAAAACAAATTAGGAATCCTAAGAAAGACTGACTGATAGCCGAGTAGAGCAGTCTGAAGGTAGATAAACGTGAACCCTCCATCCATAGGGAGATTCAGATACAGGCTTCATGTTTAGACAAGACATCTGCTTTTCCTCACCATTTGTTTTTGGTAACTTTCTGGTCCTTATATGAACTATGCCTGCCCTTTGACCTCATGACCCCATATGCTTTGAGCCCTCCATTTTCTCCTAATCAATTAGTCTCCTTCTGTCTTCCCATTTTCCCTGTTCAGCTCCACACACTGGTGTCCACTACTTAAATTATGCTTTCAATATTACTTTCAACTCTTAATCCAGCCATCCTGTTTCTCTGACTCTGGAACTGAGCAGCTGAGAGTTCTTGGAGAAAAATCACACAGCCATACCAATTGATGTCACTGTATGTTGTTGCTTTCTGACCAAGGCTGAGTCCTCAGTTATGGTGAAGGTGCTTCTGATCAACTGACAGTGGGTATTCCAAACATTTACTTCCCTTACTGTCAAAACCACCAACTCTTCTTACACTCAGCAAATGATGATTCTGTCCTTTTCATTGTGAAAAGGCAAGGGCAGAAAGTGAAAACGGCACCTTCCTCTCCCTCTTACTTATTCGCTTATTTATTGGCATTTTTACTTCTCCTTCCTGTTGGAAAAGGTGCCCATCTAACTCGAGGCTCATTTCTCAACCTGTAGATTGGATTCCATCCTCTTCTGTGTACTCAATGACTTTATTATATCAATCATCGCCCTCTTTCCTGTTTTACTTCAGAAAATAAACAGAACAGTGGTTTGTCTTATTGAAAATGAAAGCAAAAGTAAAATTACCTTGGCAGTTTTGGGTCTCTAATTATAAGCCAAAGAAACAAATTGAGAACAACTTATGGAAAAAATGATATTCATTGGAAATATACTGGTATAATGCAGAACAGAAGAAAATACTAAACAGTCAAGCTTCCTGAGGGCAGAAAGTACAGGACCACTGAAATGAAACCGTGGACATGCATAATCATGTATGTTTACTAAGGTTCAACTACCTTTCCTCCTTGTGTCACCACTTAAGATTTAGCTCCTAGGAAGGAAACATTTGATTGGCCAAGCCCACCAGAAACATGTGCAGAGGAGATGCTCCTGATACCTGCACCATTGAATTCCATAAGGCACAGTTCAGGGAACTTTGCTTTGTCCTTATTTTGTTTGATTTATCGGTAGCAGTTCTCCTTCTGGAGTCCTTCTCCTTTGTTTTCTGTGGCATTATTCTTTCCTTAAAAAGAAAAAAGATAATTCTTTTTAGTCTCCATTGTAGGTTCCCTTTTTTTCTGCTTAAACAGTAAGTGTTATCTTCCTCATGGGTTCAACTTCGATCACTGTTATATTACAAACTTCCTCCTGCCAAATCTTCGTTTTGAGTTTGCGATGGAACCTACGATTGAATTTCCAATAAAATTCAGTATATCTAAAAGTGAACTTATGTATTTCAAACCTGCGCTTTACTTGAATGCCACATTTTCATAAATGGCATATCTCTTATCCAGTCACCCAATCCACTTCCCTGGGAGTCTTCCTAGGTCACTCTCACTTATACTCAATCAATCCCTAATCCCTGTGGCTTTTAATTCCTTGGTATCTCTTGTTCTCCTCTTTCCTAAACTCATAACCACTTTTTAAATTAAGGTCTTAATGACTTCTCACCTAAATTGCTACATTAGCCTCCTCAAAAGGTTTCCTTACACATCATACTCCGTTTCTTACAGAGTGATCCTTCTAAAATGCTAATCTGCTCTGCAAACTCAGATTCAGTCCTTTATCTTTCAGGATAAACTTCAAGGCTTAACCCACACATTCTGTCTTTGGCCACTTTCCAAGCTTCAGGGATGGCTACTTCCTTACTGCTATATTGTAAAACAAGCAGGTTTCCAGTTGGAGGGACTAGAATTGTTTTTTAACCTTGACTGAATGTAAGAATTTCTGGGGACATATTAAACATGCAGATTCTTGGCCTGACCCTAAACATATTAAATTGGAATCTCCAGGAGTGGGGCTTATGTCTCTACTGATTTTTTTTTTTTTTTTTGAGACAGAGTTTTGCTCTTGTTGCCCAGGCTGGAGTGCAGGGGCGTGATCTCAGCTCACTGCAACCTCCACCTCCTGGGTTCAAGTGATTCTCCTGTCTCAGCCTCCTGAGTAGCTGGGATTACAAGTGCCCGCCACCACGCCCGGCTAATTTTTTGTATTTTTAGTAGAGACAGAGTTTCATCATGTTGGCCAGGCTGGTATCAAACTCCTGACCTCAGGTGATCCACCCGCCTCGGCCTCCCAAAGTGCAAGGATTACAGGCGTGAGCCACTGTGCCTGGCAGTCTCTACTGATTTTTATGATCAAGCCAGTTTGTGAATTAATGATTGACTGTTTCTAGGCAGTCCTTTTACTTATGCTGTTTGTTCTGCAATTCCCAATCCCCTTGTCCTTCAATAGTTTAGTTAGTGTCACTTTACAGGTGACTCTCATTCTTACTTAGAGGCCTCTTCTCTGTGTTCCTGTACCGCGTAGGACTATCTCTGTCTTAGTACCCATCACATAATATTTGACTAACTTACCTATCTTATAACTGCTCTAAAAACTTATCTTTGTTTTCCCAGTACATAAAAGACAAACAGTAGGCATTTGGCAAAAATTACTTTGATATGTAAAAACAAATAAAAAGCTCACTACACTTTTTGCTGTTATGGATTCTTTCTGTTGCTTTATCTCTAAGGAGTTACTCATAAGATGAATATTGTTCAATTACTTAAAAACACCATTATTACTATGATTCCTTTAAAATCATATTATAGAATAATATTTTTTGATATGTGAAAATATTATAATGTACTACTAAGGGAAAAATAGGCTAAAATTTATATAATATGACTTTTTTGGTAAAAATTTTAAAACAAATTAAGTTAAAAATGCATATATAAAAACATATTGAGAAGACATACATTGTAATTTTATTACTCTTTGATTATGAAATAATGGGTGATTTTGTATCTACTTTCTATCAGAAGTATGTACATCTAAAACTTTTTTTATTTGTATAAATTTAAGGGCACAAGTGCAGTTTTGTTACATGGATATTTTGGATAATGGTGAAGTCTGGGGCTTTTAGTGTGACCATCTTCTGAATAATGTACATCGCACCTATTAAGCCACTTTTCATCCCTCACTCCCCTCCCACCTTCCCATCCTTCTGAGTCTCCAGTGTCTCTTACTCCACACTCTATGTCCATGTGTACATGTTACATTGCTACCATTTGTAAGTGAGAACATGTAGTATTTGACTTTCTGTTTCTGAGTTATTTCACTTAATATAATGGCCTCCAGTTCTATCCATGCTACTGAAAAAGATGATTTCATTCTTTTTTATGGTTGACTAGTCATTCATTGTATGTACATATACCACAGTTTCTCTACTCATCCATTGACAGATACTTAGGTTGATTCTAAGTCTTTGTTACTGTGAACCATGCTGCAATAAACATGAGTACAGATATCTTTTCAAGATAAAGATTTCTTTTTCTTTGGGTAGATACCCGGTAGTGGGATTGCTGGATCAAATGGTAATTCAACTTTTAGTTCTTTGAGAAATTTCCATGCTATTTTCCAGAGAGGTTGTACTTATTTACACTCTCATCAACAGTGTATAAGCATTCCCTTTTCTCCACACCCTCACCCACATCTGTTGTTTTTTGACTTTTTATAATAGCCATCCTGGCTTGTGTAAGATGATATCTCATTGTAGTTTTAATTTGCATTTTTTTGATGATAAGTAATATTAAGCATTTTAACAATAAGCTTGTTGGCCATGTGTATATCTTTTGAGAAATGTCTGTTCATGTCCTTTGCCCACTTTTTAATGGGGTTGTTTTGTTATTGTTGTTGTTGAGCTGTTTGAGCTCCTTGTAAATTCTGGATATTAGCCCTCTTTCAGACATATAGTTTGCAAATATTTTCTCCTATCCTACAGGTTGTCTGTTCACTCTATTGATTGTTTCTTTTGCTGTGCAGAAGCCTTTGAGTTTAATTAAGTCCCATTTGTTTATTTTTGTTTTTGTTGCTTGCACTTTTGAGGTCTTAATCATGAATTCTTTGAGTAGACCAATGTCCAGAAGAGTTTTCCTTAGGTTTTCTTCCAGGATTTTTATAGTTCCAGGTGGAAGTATATAAATTTTATAATTAAAATATTATGATAAAAAGCATATACATACTCTCTTCCTCAATCTACTTTGAAGTAGTGTGCACATACACATACATGCACACACACTTTGCACACACATGACAAAATAAAAAGAAATATTTGAGTCCTCGAAAACTTAACTTTTCTATGGAAAGCCAAAAACTATTTGGTGAAAATGAAGTACTGAACTGATAAAGAATGGAATGAATATGTGAATAAAATGTGAATATGTGATAAGGAATAGAGTGAATAAGATAATTATCTACTAATTAGAAAAAAAAGACAGGTATGTTTGTAAACCTATCATGTAGGTATACAATTCTTTACAATTTGTGAGTGAAGAGGACTCAGGAAAGAATCTCTTGGGTTATCAGCCTCCTGGGCAAGAGGGCCAAACAGGAACAGATCTGGTCTGCAGCTCCCAGCAAGATCGACACAGAAGGTGGGTGATTTCTGCATTTTGGACTGAGGTACCTGGTTCAACTCATTGGGACTGGTTGGACAGTGTGTGCAGCCCACGGAGGGTGAGCTGAAGCAAGGTGGGGCGTTGCTTCACCCAGGAAGCGCAAGGGGTCTGGGAATTCTCTCCCCTACCCAAGGGAATCCGTAAAGGACTGTGCCTGAGGAACAGTGTACCCCAGCCCAGATACTGCACTTTTCTCATGGTCTTTGCAAACCACAGACCAGGAGATTCCCTCCAGTGTCTATGCCATCAGGGCCCTGGGTTTCAAGCACAAAACTGCACGGCCATTTGGGAGATACCAAGCTAGCTGCAGGAGTTTTTTATTCCATACCCCAGTGGCACCTAGAACACCAGCGAGACAGAACCATTCACTCTCCTGGAAAGGGAGCCGAAGCCAGGGAGCCAAGTGGTCTGGCTCGGTGGGTCCCACCCCAACACAGCCCAGCAAGCTAACATGGACTGAAATTCTCGCTGCCAACCTAGCAGTCTGAGGTCGACCTGGGACACTTGAGCTTGGTGTGGGGAGGGGCATCTGCCATTGCTGAGGCTTGAGTAGGCGGTTTTACCCTCACAGTGTAAACAAAGCATCCAGGAAGTTGGAACTGGGTGGAGCCCACCGCAACTCAGCAAGGCAGCTGTGGCCAGACTGCCTCTCTAGATTCCTCCTCTCTGGGCAAGGCATCTCTGAAAAATAGGGCAGCAGCCCCAGTCAGGGGCTTATAGATAAAACCCCCATCTCCCTGGGACAGAGCACCTGGGGGAAGGGGCGGCTGTGGGTGCAGCTTCAGCATTCTTAAATGTTCCTGCCTGCTGGCTCTGAAGAGAGCAGTGGATCTCCCAGCACAGTGCTCAAGCTCGGCTAAGGGTCAGACTGCCTCCTCAAGTGGGTCCCTGACCCCCATGTATCCTGGCTGGGAGACACCTCCCAGTAGGGTCTGAAGGACACCTCATACAGGAGAGCTCTGGCTGGCATCTGGCAGGTGCCCCTCTGGGACGAAGCTTCCAGAGGAAAGAATAGGCAGCAATCTTTGCTGTTCTGCAGCCTTCACTGGTAATACCCAGGCAAACAGGGTCTGGAGTGGACCTCCCACAAACTCCAGCAGACCTGCAGCAGAGGGTCCTGACTGTTAGAAGGTAGAAGGAAAACTAACAAAAAGAAAGGAATAGCACATCCACTCAGAGACATCATCCAAAGGTCACCAACATCAAAGACCAAAGGTAGATAAATTCACGAAGATGGGGAGAAACCAATGAAGGCTGAAAATTCCAAAAACCAGAATGACTCTTCTCCTCCAAAGGATTACAACTCCTCGCCAGCAAGGGAAGAAAACTGAATGGAGAAAGAGTTTGACAAATTGACAGAAGCAGGCTTCAGAAGGTGGGTAATAACAAACTGCTCTGAGCTAAAGGAGCATGTTTAACACAATGCAAGAAAGAACCTTGCATAGGAAGAACCTAAGAACCTTCAAAAACAAATGAGATGAATTGCTACCTAGAATAACCAGTTTAGAGAAGAACATAAATAACCTGACAGAGCTGAAAAACACAGCACGAGAACTTTGTGAAGCATACATAAGTATCAATAGCTGAATTGATCAAGTGGAAGAAAGGATATCAGAGATTGAAGATCAACTTAATAAGGTAAAGTGAGAAGACAAGTTTAGAGAAAAAAGAATGAAATGGAATGAACAAAGTCTCCAAGAAATATGGGACTATGTGAAAACACCAAATCTACATCTGATTGGTGTACTTGAAAGTGAAAGGGAGAATGGAACCAAGTTGGAAAACACTCTTCAGGATATTATCCAGGAGAACTTCCTCAACCTAGCAAGGCAGGCCAACATTCAAATTCAGGAAATACAGAGAACACCACAAAGATGCTCCTCGAGAATAGTAACCCCAAGACACATAATTGTCAGATTCACCAAGGTTGAAATGGAAGAAAAAATGTTAAGGGCTTCCAGAGAGAAAGGTTGGGTTACCCACAAAGGGAAGCCCATCAGACTAACAGCAGATCTCTCTGCAGAAACCCTACAAGACAGAAGACAGTGGGGGCCGATATTCAACATTCTTAAAAGAATTTTCAACCCAGAATTTCATATCCAGCCAAACTAAGTTTCATAAAAGAAGGAGAAATCAAATCCTTTACAGAAAAGCAAATGCTGAGAGATTTTGTCACCATCAGGCCTGCCTTACAAGAGCTCCTGAAGGAAGCACTAATCATGGAAAGGAACAACCGGTACCAGCCACTGCAAAAACACACCAAATTGTAAAGACCATCGATGTTATGAAGAAACTGGAACAACTAATGGGCAAAATAACCAGCTAGCATCATAATGACAGGATCAAATTCACACATAACAATATTAACCTTAAATGTAAACAGGCTAAATGCCCCAATTAAAAGACACAGACTAGCAAATTGGATAAAGAGTCAAGACCCATTGCTGTGCTGTATTCAGGAGACACATCTCACATGCAAAGACACACGTAGGCTCAAAATAAAGGGATGGAGGAATTTTTACCAAGTAAATGGAAAGAAAAACAAACAAACAAACAAAAATCAACACTTGCAATCCTAATCTCTGATAAAACAGACTTTAAACCAACAAAGATCAAAAAAGACAAAGAAGGGGATTACATAATGGTCAAGGGATCAATGCAACAAGAAGAGCTAACTCTCCTAAATATATATGCACCCAATACAGGAGCACCCAGACTCATAAAACAAGTTCTTAGAGACCTACAAAGAGACTTAGACTCCCACACAATAATAGTGGGGGACTTCAGCAACCCACTGTCAATATTAGATAGATCAATGTGACAGAAAATTAACAAGGATGTTCAGGACTTGAACTCAGCTTTGTACCAAGCTGACCTAATTGACATCTACAGAACTCTCCACCCCAAATCAACAGAATATACATTCTTCTCAGCAACTCATCACACTTATTCTAAATTTGACCACATAATTGGAAGTAAAACACTCCTCAACAAATGCAAAAGAATGGAAATCATAACAAACAGTCTCTCAGATGACAGTACAATCAAATTAGAACTCAGGATTAAGAAACTCACCCAAAACCGCACAATTACGTGGAAACTGAAAAACCTGCTCCTGAACGACTACTGGGTAAATAACAAAATGAAGGCAGAAATAAAGATGTTTTTCAAAACCAATGAGAACAAAGACACAGTGTACCAGAATCTCTGGGACACATTCAAAGCAGTGTGTAGAGGGAAATTAATAGCATTAAATGACCACAAGAGAAAGCAGGAAAGATCTAAAATTGACACCCTAACATCAAAATTAAAAGAACTAGAGAAGCAAGAACAAACAAATTCAAAAGCTAGCAGAAGACAAGAAATAACTAAGATCAGAGCAGAACTGAAGGAGGTAGAGACACAAAAAACCCTTCAAAAAAATCAATGAATCCAGGAGCTGTTTTTTTTTTTTGAAAAGATGAACAAAATAGATAGACTGCTAACCAGACTAATAAAGAAGAAAAGAGAGAAGAATCAAATAGAAATAATAAAAAATGATAAAGGGGATATCGCCACTGATCCCATAGAAATACAAACTACCATCAGAGAATACTATAAATACCTCTACGCAAATAAACGAGAAGAAATGGATAAATTCCTGGACAGTACACCCTCTCAAGTCTAAACCAGGAAGAAGTCGAATCCCTGAATAGACCAATAACAAGTTCTGAAATTGAGGCAGTAATTAATAGCTTACCAACCAAAAAAAGTCCAGGACCAGACAGATTCACAGCCGAATTCTACCAGAAGTACAAAGAGGAGCTGGTACCATTCCTTCTGAAACTATTCCAAACAATAGAAAAAGAGGGAATCCTCCCTAACTCATTTTATGAGACCAGCTCATCCTGACACCAAAACCTGGCAGAGACACGACAAAAAAAGAAAATTTCAGACCAATATCCTTGATGAACATCAATGCGAAAATCCTCAGTAAAATACTGGCAAACTGAACCTGGCAGCACATCAAAAAACTTATCCACCAAGATCAAGTTGGCTTCATCCCAGGGATGGAAGGCTGTTTTGACATACACAAATCAATAAACATAATCCATCACATAAACAGAACCAATGACAAAAACCACATGATTATCTCAATAGTTACAGGAAAGGCCTTTGAGAAAATTCAACAGCCCTTCATGCTAACCACTCTCAATAAACTAGGTATTGATGGAATGTATCTCAAAATAATAAGAGCTATTTATGACAAACCCACAGCCAATATCATACTGAATGGGCAAAAGCTGGAAGCATTCCCATTGTAGACCGGCACAAGACAAGGATGCCCTCTCTCACCACTCCTATTCAACATAGTATTGGAAGTTCTGGCTAAGGCAATCACACAAGAGAAAGAAATAAAGGGTATTCAAGTAGGAAAAGAGGAAGTCAAATTGTCCCTGTTTCAGATGACATGATTGTATATTTAGAAAACCCCACCGTCTCAACCCGAAATCTACCTAAGCTGATAAGCAACTTCAGCAAAATCTCAGGATACAAAATAAATATGCAAAAATCACAAGCATTCCTATACACCAATGACAAGCAAACAGAGAGCCAAATCATGAGTGAACTCCCATTCACAATTGCTACAAAGAGAGTAAAATACCTAGGAATAAAACTTACAAGAGATGCAAAGGACCTCTTCAAGGAGAACTACAAACCACTGCTCAAGGAAATAAGAGAGAATGCAAATAAATGGAAAAACATTCCATGCTCATGGATAGGAAGAATCAATATCGTGAAAATAGCCATACTGCCCAAAATAATTTATAGATTCAGTGCTATCCCCATCACGCTACTATTGACTTTCTTCATAGAATTGGAAAAAACTACTTTAAAACTTCATATGGAACCAAAAAAGAGCCTGCATAGCCAAGACAATCCTAAGCAAAAAGAACAAACCTGAAGGCATCACACTACCTGACTTCAAACTATACTACAAGGCTACAGTAACCAAAACAGCATGGTACTGGTACCAAAACCAATATATAGACCAATGCAACAAAACAGACACCTCAGAAATAACACCACACATCTACAACCATCTGATCTTTGATAAACCTGACAAAAACAAGCAATGGGGAAAGGATTCCCTATTTAATAAATGATGTTGGGAAAACTGGCTAGCCACATGCAGAAGACTGAAACTGGACCCCTTCCTTACACCTTCTACAAAAATCAACTCAAGATGGATTAAAGACTTACATGTAAGACCTAAAACCATAAAAATCCTAGCAGAAAACCTAGGCAATACCATTCCGGACATAGGCATGGGCAAAGACTTCATGTCTAAAACACCAAAACAATGGCAACAAAAGCCAAAATTGACAACTGGGATCTAATTAAACTCAAGAGCTTCTGCACAGCAAAAGAAGCTATCATCAGAGTGAACAGGCAACCTACAGAATGGGAGAAAATTTTTGCAATTTAGCCACCTGACAAAGGGCTAATATCCAGTATCTACAAAGAACTTAAATTTACAAGAAAAAAATGAACAACCCCATCAAAAAGTGGGCAAAGGATATGAACAGACACTTCTCAAAAGAAGACATTTATGCAGCCAACAAACATGAAAAAAAGCTTATCATCACTGGTCATTAGAGAAATGCAAATCAAAACCACAATGAGATACCATCTCATGCCAGTTAGAATGGCAATCATTAAAATGTCAGGAAACAATAGATGCTGGAGAGGATGTGGAGAAATAGGAATGCTTTTACACTGTTGGTGATAGTGTAAATTAGTTCAACCATTGTGGAAGACAGTGTGGCGATTCCTCAAGGATCTAGAACTAGAAATACCATTTGACCTAGCAATCCCATTACTGGGTATATACCCAAAGGATTATAAATCATTCTACTATAAAGACACATGCACACGTATGTTTATTGTGGCACTATTCCCAGTAGCAAATACTTGGAACTAACCTAAATGTCCAACAATGATAGACTGGATAAAGAAAACATGGCACATATACACCATGGAATACTATGCAGCCATAAAAAAGAATGAGTTCATGTCCTTTGCAGGGGCATGGACGAAGCTGGAAACCATCATTCCCAGCAAACTAACGCAAGAACAGAAAACCAAACACTGCGTGTTCTCACTCATAAGTGGGAGTTGAACAATGAAAACACATGGACACAGGGAGGGGAACATCACACACCAGGGCCTGTCAGCGGGTGCGGGGCTAGGAGAGGGATAGAATTAGGGGAAATAGCTAATGTAGGTGATGGGTTGATGGGTGCAGCAAACCACCATGGCACGCATATACCTATGTAACAAAACTGCATGTTCTGCACATGTACCCCAGAACTTATAGTATAATAATAATAATAATAATAATAAAGAATCTCTCTCCAGGGAGAATTATTTTCTCAAGGCAAACACTGGGTGGGGGCTTGAGGTTCCTAAGGATTATAAGCTAGTTAAATACAAGATGTTAGTGCTTAAAGCAATTTAGGCAAGAGTGCAGTTAACATCGTCAGCTGCCAAAAGGAAGAAGTCTTGTTGAAATAGATTAAAACAGGAGGAAGGAAGGGCCTAAAAGATATTTAAATTGATCACAAAGTCTGGTATCTACCTTGAAGCTGGTGATGTTGAAAGACTTTGTCTACTGTTACAGACTAAATATTTGTGTCCCCTAAAGTTCCTGTGTTGAAATCCTAACCCCCAAAGTGATGGTATTAAGAGTTGGGGTCTTTTAGAAGATGATTAAGTCTTGATCACCGAGCCCTCATGAAGGGAAGCAAGCCCTCACCAGATACCAAATCTGCTAGCACCTTAATCTTGAACCTTCCAGCCTCCAGAACTGTGAGAAGTAAGTGTTTGTTGTTTATAAGTTATCCTATTTGTTTATTTTGAAATGGAGTCTTGCTCTGTCACCCAAGCTGGAGTGCAGCAGTGCCATCTCAGCTCACTGCAACCTCCGCCGCCTGGGTTCAAGCGATTCTCCTGCCTCAGCCCCCCAAGTAGCTGGGACTATAGGTATGCACCACCATGCCTAGCTAATTTTTGTATTTTTAATAGAGACAGGGTTTTGCCATGTTGGGCAGGCTGGTCTCGAACTCCTGACCTCAGGTGATCGGCCCACCTCAGCCTCCCAAAGTGCTGGGATTACAGGTTCGAGCCACTGCGCCTGGCCTAAAGTTATCCAGTTTATAATATTTTGTTATAGCAGCTCAGACAGACTGAGATACCCTCTTTTCTGTGTTTCTTGAAAGAGTGCTTCATATTTAATTTTTCCTACATGTTTCTGCAAATGTTAGTAAATAGAATGTACTCTATAGGGAAACAATTTTTTAATAGAATAGGAATAATTGGGTGGTGTGTGAGCCACTTCTGCTCTTTCTTAGCTCTGGAGGAAAGTTCAGCGACATTGTAATGTCTCAAAGCACCACCCTTCACTGGTGGAAGCACACAAATGAGTGATACTGTCTTAGAGGAAATATATCAACTTTTCTTCAGTTGGCCTTAATCCTAACTTTGCAAATGTCCTAAGAAGAAATAAAACAATAGTTCATTTATGAATGTGACTCAAGCCTTTATATACAAAATGTCAATACATTTAAATTTCCACTTGTTTAGCTGGAATAATGAGCCTTAAAATCTATGTGCCACCTTATTTAGACACATAGATTTAGGAGCACATGAAAGAAATTGAAATATAAAGTTGCTGTCCAAAAGCACCAACAACTTAGCATAAATTATTTTTGCTGTTACATAAAGAATGTTTTCCATTGTATATTGTAGATGCTATTATTTTAAGTAAGGACTCCTGGTGAAGTTAAAATATATACTCCACAAATATTTAATGTTTGGATAATTTGTCAGGAGTAGCCTTATTCCATAAAGTGGGGGCAAATTTGTATTGAAGTATCATGTAATTAGTTCCAAATTAAAATAACATCAAATATATATTGTTTATTTGTGTGAATTACTTCATGCATAAAGGGTTAGTCGTAGGAAATATTGAAAGCCAGATGCTCTAACAAGTTGTGACTAGGGAATCTTAAAACAGGTCATCACTTGGCCAGGAAGATTTGACATCTGACCTTTGATTTTTTTGGAAATATGTTGCTTATTCAGCAAGAATGTCAAGCCCTGAATAATCTAATATTAAGGAGCTTCTTTCTCCTTTTGTGCTTCTACAAAGCTGGTAGTTACTGTGACAAGATTCAGTACCAGGAATGCTTTTTTGAACAAAGAACCTGAGATTTTTTTTTTCTTGCCCTTATTCAGAATTAGCAAGTAAAGGGAAAGCAATGATTTATGATCAATTAATAAGATGGAACCCGAAGTCCTATGAAACAACCTTTGTTTTTTCACTTTGTGGGAATTGTAGGTCTAAAATGTTTTATGATTAGCTTCAAAGAACTAACATAAATATACTTTTGATGTTAAAAAGATAGTAAAGATCTATTTTAAGGAGTGTGATACTGTTGTAGAGAAAAGAAAAAGGCAAGGAATTGGGAATTAAACTGGTTAAAGTTAAACTAAGCACTAAATTTTGGTTTGAAAATAGATATCCAGATATTACTTTTATTTTACATAATGTAAACTCTTTGAGAACAATTTCCTGTTTAGCTAACACAGAGAGTTTTTGCTTTCGACACAGTGTTTACACGAGTGCCCGAAGTTACCGCTCTTGCAGTTTGTTAGACTCTAACTCAAACTGACATTAACTACATTGCTTGTTCACAATTAGGTTCCTTTGGTAGTTACATAGTTAACTACTTCTAATAGTTAAATGTAGGTAGACTCTATATATCTCTTTTCCTACAACCTAGGTATGAGTGGCATATTTATTTATTTATTTTAAAAATAATTTTCACTTTTATTTTAGATGCAGGCGGTACATAATGCAGGCTTGGTGACTGGAAATAGAGATAATTGAAGCTACTCTTGAAGGGCTTTTGAATAGTCTTCCAAATGCTAATTATCCTTAGTATAAGTATTCTGCTTATAGTTTGTATATTAAAGCTCATGCATATGTATATATTGCATTGCCTATGATGACCTATTTTGTGTAAAATAAACATTTTGCCCCAATATATCAATATGCTTCCTTGAAAACACCTTACATAGCCAAAATGACATGATATCACCTGACAAAATTATTAGTTTATTAGTATCATGTAATACTCACTCCATATTTAAATTTCTCCTATTTTTCCCTTTTCAGGTGGTTTAATCTGAACCAAGATCCAGTCTGAGTACATTTTGTTAAATCCCGTGAGTCTCTTCTATTCTTTGAAAGTACCTTTTATCATGACACCCTGACTTGCTGAAGTCCTCCCAGTTGTCCTTTAGAAGATCTTATGCTGTTTGATCCCTTTCTTGTGGTGATGTTTTATTTGTTTCTTCATCTCCAGTAATCTCTGTAATCTGGCAGTCAAATCTAAAGGTTATATTAAATTCAAGTTAAACATTTTTGTCAAAGTTAAAATCATAGGTGATGTCGTACACTTAACATTGCATCACATTGATGGTCATAAATGTCTGATTGTCCCACCAGTGGTGATATTAAATTTGGCCACAGGATCAAGGGAATAAAAGTCTGATTCTTCTATTGCAAAATTATGTTTCTCAGTTTGTGATCAAATTTTTTTGGCTAGAACTGTGAATTTTCAGGTCACCAACAGCCATTTATGTCATTTTATTTTAACACCAATTGATAAGAGTTGGCTGCATCGATAATCTAATCAGGGCAAATAGTTATATCTGTGATTCTTATCATTTATTTCACACTTATTAGTTAGCTTTCTTCATCATGTAGACTGCTTTTTCCTTCAACTGGGTCTATTTAATTTTCTAAATCACAATTCCTTCTAAAAAGGTGGAATACATGTTAATTCTTTCTTTTGTTTCTATAATTTGGAGGCAGTTCACTGAGCAGATATCTGTCTTCAGAACTCTAACTGACCCTGTCCAATGTGGCTGCTTTATAATACATATTCTATTAATTTTAAAAAATAATTCCCATTGTGCTTGTGCCAAAATGGCTATCCGGGAACAATTGTTATAGTGTATTTCATTTCTTATTTGTTTCTGGTTGTTATGTAAAATATCCTAAGCATTTGTAAATATACTAATCATTGTTCTTTTTTTATTCATTATATTTCCGTGTAAGGGTGTATTTGATTCACTTACTGTAATCTTTTCCTTCCAGGGTTTTCCCATGATATTCCATAATTTCCATTTCATCTTGATGATTTCATCTATAATATTTATTTGGTGCTGAGAAGGTTCCCACAAATTAGTCAGATTCCAATGCTGATATCCTGTTACTTTCCACCTGCTACCATAACCCTCTCCTTGGGTATCCAGACAGATTATGGCACTGTCTTGTAGCTGGTCCCAGAAACAATTTATATGGCCAATATTTGTTACAGGGTAAATACCAAGGATCCAGGACATCTGGCATGTCATAATCTTTAGAAAATTTTGATTAGTTGTAAGACTGTCTTAGATTTGACAATATCCGGATTTGTCATTATGGGGTCCCCCTAATTTGTCTTCTGGTGGTGTGCTGGAAGCTGAAATAACCTGATGCATTAATTAGGCCAGTATAACACATGAAATAGAGTGTGGTTTGGCAGACTAGGGCCTCTGTGAAAGAAAATTACCTTGCCATCCATGTTGAAGAATTTTATAATAAATTACAGACAATATATAACAAAACATTTATGAAAGTAGGGACCAGTGCTGAATCTCCAGAGTGAAGCCTCACATGTAACAGACTCAGAACAAATGCTGGTTGAATGAATTAATTTCAACTCACTCATCTGTGGGAATTAGAGATCCTTCAAAGAAATACACAGATGAGAGTTGAAAAAATTGTCTTGTTGAAGTCTCCTCCTTTTTTTTTTTTTTTTTTTTGAGACAGAGTCTCACTCTGTCACTCAGGCTGGAGTGCAGTGGTGTGATCTCTGCTCACTGCAACCTCCACCTCGCTGGTTCAAGCGATTCTCCTGCCCCAGCCTCCCGAGTAGCTGGGATTACAGGTGCCTGCCACCACACTCGGCTAATTTTTGTTTTTAGTAGAGACAGGATTTCATCATGTTGGCCAAGCTGGTCTCCAACTCCTGACCTCAAGTGATCCTCCCACCTTGGCCTCCCAAAGCGCTGGGATTGCAGGCATGAGCCACGTGCCCGGCTGAAACCTCTCTTAACTAAGAGTCTATATTGTCTTTTATTGGAAAGTGTGTCAAAGTTCTTTTGCCTTTCCTGAAGATGTTTATACCATAAAATTCTATCTGTTTCTTATCCTCTGACATTAGTTTGTTGCTGATATTATTACTAGATTTCAAGGTCACTTCAGAAATACTTGGTAGTAAAATAAAGGCTCTAATTAAAAAAAACTATTCTGTTATCGATCATGTCTTTGTTCTGTTGCCGATGTTTGCTTGTCTAAAAACTCAGAAACACATTTTTTCCTAATTGACTAGACATATTTAACCATGTATACTCACTAAAACTGGAGAAAATTGATGTATCAATCATAATGTCAATAAAACTTTGTCTGCCAAGTAGAGCATATTGAGTACTCAACATAGTTCTCCTCCCTTACCCCTACCCAAATCTGTTGAGTTGTCTTCATGAGCAGAGACTCAGGATAATTTAATAACTTGTGTCACTACAGTTGGCCCTTGGCATACTCATTTTCTTTTTTTAAAATTTTTTTGAGACTCACTCTGTCGCATAGGCTGAAGTGCAGTGGCTCAATCTCGGCTTACTGCAACCTCCGCTTCCTGGGTTCAAGTGGTTCTTGTGCCTCAGCCTCTGGAGTAGCTGGGACTACAGGTGCCTGCCACCACGGCCAGCTAATTTTTGTGTTTTTAGTAGAGACATGGGTCACCATGTTGGCCAGGCTGGCCTTGAACTCCTGACCCCAAGTGATCCGTCCTCCTCAGCCTCTCAAAGTGCTGGATTATAGGCATGAGCCACCATGCCTGCCCTGGCATACTCAGTTTCATAATGGTGGTTTAACTGTCAAATTAATAAAAAGTCCTATGCCCTGTCCTCCAGAAAGTGCTAGAAACCCAGCACCACTCAAATAAGGCTCTCCAAATTCTTCTTTCATAGATAACAAGAAGACCACTCCATGTTTGTCTATATATATATTTTTAAATAGAAATAGCTAACATCAATAAATTGATTGAATGTAAGCTTTCCAATTATGACATATGAATTTCCATATCTTTTATTTAGTTACCAGTTATTAATAGTTTGCCAAACTAGCTTTATCTCCTCTCTCTCATTTTTCTTTCTTTCCTTGTTAACACTTTGAATAATGAAGAAATTTTAACGCATTATAATTCACTATTATTATTATTATTTTGATGTCAAATTATCCCAAATTTGGCCAGAAGGAGCCTCTTCAGACCTGCTCTTTTATGTTTTTGGCATGATCATATTCATCCATTACATTTAATTCCTCTTGACTTCATGTCTTGGAAGATTTAAACTTTAGATTTGTTACTATTTTGATATTCCCTACATGCATCTCCTACAGATATAAATGACTTAGTTATTTGAAACAATTAGTTGGTCTCCTCTATATCTTCAGGACAAAATTTTTTAAAAAGACAAAATTTAATGTTTTTATATACCACGGCAAAGTGTGTAATTATTATTATCACCCACCATGCCTGGCCAATTTATGTCTTTTTAAGAAAAAATATTTCTATTAAGTTCAAAGACTAGCATTAGAGATGATAACAATAGAGTTTAGTTGGCTTTTGCTTCTTGGTATAACTTCATCTGCAATTTTTTGCTCAATACCGCTTTGTTCGTGTTCACTGTTTTATGAGATTTCTTGTGAATTTTAAAATTAGATAAAATTTCATATACCTTCAGAATTCTGAATCCAGTTGAATGTTTAAAAACAAATTAAAATGCCATAGGAACTTTCAGATGAACAATACAGCATTGTTCAGAAATGCTAAATACAGGACCTTTTCAAATAATTTTCCTGGTGAAAAAGTACTTCAATGTGCACACAATGCCCAATGCGTGCCTTTTTCATAGAATGGCTTGAAGTGTGTTACTTCTTAAGGAAGCTATTACTTCTTTATAGTCCTTTCAGAATATTTTCTATATTTGTTACTAATGTTTTAACTTTGAAATGCAGAAACATATATATTTACAGAACTCGGTTATTCTCATGTCATATTTGAAATTTTAAAATTTTTCATCCCGTGGGATGTTTATGTCATAAAGCAAGATTTAGCTAAAATATGCACAGTTATCCTTGAAGGCTTAATTATAATTTCCCAATATATCTAGGTAGTCTTTTGCTCCAAAATGATCCTGAGGGGTAAGAAAGTTTTATTTTTAGTCCCAGATCTTTCATTAGCCAGCTCTATTATTACCTTAGGTAAATTACTTGACTAATAATTCAGTCAATTTTTTTGATAAAAAAGAATCTGAAAATGTGCAATATATTGGAGAGTCAGTTCTTTGGGATTACTTTTTCTATATGCAAATCAGGAAAGTTTGACTAGGTAATTTCAAAATCATTCCCAATTTTAAATTTCTTTGACTCTCTGATAACAGATATAAAATTGTATTATCTGAAGAGAGTATTCAGAGAAGAAGCACTTTCTTTTATCTGCAAATTCATCTTTTGCTACAGGTGGAGATAAGAAGCAGTAGCTGGAATTACAGGGTGGATATAATATACTTCTGCTAGCTCTTTCCTTGTACATATTTTACAAATATAAAGTATTGCATATGAAGGACATTGCTATGCTGAATGGTACATCGTCTGCTTTACATGTAGAGAGGTGGATGGATGGAGATCAGGCAATAGTTCTTTTTTTCCCCTTCCGAAATTTTAAAATATGTTAGTGCTGGCTCACACTATTTTTTCACATGAGAAGATATTAGGACAAACATGTTCATCTGAGAGACATTGCTGCTTCTGTATCTCTAAATATCATCTTTCCAGTCCTATCTCTCTACCCTTGGGTTTAACCACATCCAATTATTTTCTAAGACATCATAAAAGATTCACTGCATTCATAACAATAGGCTGTCACTGGTTCATCTGCCTTCAAATATGTTATTGAAGAAAATTCATTCAGTTCAAAGATCAGTATTTCTTACAAACTTTCTGGAAAATATTCCCCAAAATGTTCTAACTTAGACATCCTCTTACTGCTGGCTTAATGATCAAAAGGTTTTAGAGAGCACGAAGCATTTTGAAGTTGAAGTGATTTAAATGCCTTTTCTGCCATATCCCTTGTTCTTGAATGTGTTCACTCACTGGCTGAATTTATAGAACCAATTTAGGAGAAGAACAATGTTTCTGCGTCCCCTAAGAAATTTCTCAAATTCCTTACAGTGACAATCAAAAGAAAATCTGATTTGCTCTTTGTGAGAGCATTTCTTATATACTCTCAGTAGCAGTAAAAGTTTTGATTGCTCTGGTTTCAAAAAGAAAATTAGAATTTTTTTTTATTTCTTCTCCCTTTAAAAGCATAGCTTCGTGCTCTGCAGTATGTACAAACACAATTAACTGCAGACAGAGGACCTAAGGTGTGAACTTTGTAATCAGACAGACCTGGGTTCAAACGTTAGCTCAAACATTTGCTAGCTCTATGATTGTAGGTATTGCTTTTAAGAAATCTGACCCTCGGTTTTTCATCTGTAAAATGAGACCCAATGTTTAATGTTGTAAGTTTTAAATGAGAAAATACATGCAATATACTTACAACAGTCCTTGGAGCATATGACATGCTCAGTAAACAATAGCTGGCTGCTAACCTTTTAATTTTATCTATTATTAACTGGCTGTTAACCTTTCAATTTTATTTCTAAAATTTGATGGCTATTTAAAAAACGTGACTAAAATATTAATATTGCTCTTCAAAGAAATGACCCATGATTTCTTGCTATCATTAAATGTTCAATGTTCCTATTCCCTCAGTAGGTTTATTCAAAGTAGGATCTAAACAAGGGCCACATTTGTCTTAACAGTTTTTCATCAGTAGGTTTCTGTCTTTCTTTTTTCTTTTTTAAAAACTGGTTTCTGTTTGTTTAAGAAAATACATAACTAATTCTGTAGCATTTCTCACATTCTTGTTTGTCTGGTTGTATCTGCCACAGTATTATGGAAAATATTAAATTAAAAAAATAAAAATTTAAAATTTAAATGAGGTAGTAATTTAGCAAGACCCAACCAGACTTTAAATTCTATGAGATTATGCTTTTTTCTTCTTTGCATCCTATGGGGCCTGAGGATACAGTGCTAGGCAAATAAGAAATACTTGTTGCTTGATCAATTATTCCTATAGTTTGAATATTTGTCCCCTCCAAAACTCCTGTTGAAATGTAATCTCCGTTGTGCAGTATTGGAGAGGTGGGGCCTTTAAGAGGTGACTGGGTGATAAGGGCCCTGCTCTCATGAATGGACTAATTCATTCATGGATTAATGGGTTAATGGATTAATGGGTTGTCATGGCAGTGGGACTGGTGGCTTTCTAAGAGGAGGAAGAGGGAATGAGCACCTCAGCACACTCAGCCCCTGTCCATGTGATGCCCCTCACCACCTCAAGTCTCTTCGGAGAGTCCCCATCAGCAGGAAGGCTCTCTCCAGATGTGGCCTCTCAACCTGGGACTTCTCAGCCTCCTTAAGAAATGCATTTATTTTCTTTATAAATTACCCAATTTCAGGTACTCTGTTATAAGCAACAGAAAACAGACTAATACAATTACTGAGAGAAATACCCCTGCATTTAACTAATATATATTAACATTTATATTAGAGATAAAGTAAGAATTAAGAGTTTCAAGGCCAGGCACGGTGGCTCATGCCTGTAATCCCAGCACTTTGGGAGGCCAAGGATTAGCCTGGCGTGGTGGCTGGTGCCTGTAGTCCCAGCTACTTGGGAGGATGAGTCAGAATTGCTTGAACCTGGGGGGCAGAGGTTGCCGTGAATCGAGATCATGCCACTGCACTCCAGTCTGGATAACAGAGCAAGACTCCATCTAAAAAAAAAAAAAAAAAAAAAAAGAGAGATTCAAAATTTGGTCTTGCTTTTGCCATCATTTTGCTATTTCACACTGAAAAAAAAATCATTAAATATTTCTAAGCTCCAGCTTGCCTGTCTTTTTTTTTTTGGTCTCATAGATTTGCCATGAGAATGAGAAAAGATATGAATGGTAATATAAATGCTAGTTAAATAATAACTGTTATTCTTGTTGAATAAAAATGCATAAATACTGATATTTATTTTTAACATCAGCAGTTAGATAAAGGACTAGATGGCCTTGCTGGTTGAAAAGACACTCTTATATTTTACAAATGGAAAATGATTTTTCCTACCTAGCTTCCATGTCTATCTTGGCCATTATTGTGCAGTTTTATATGCCACATTATAATTGGAGAATGAACATTTTCCTGATTTTTCTCACCAAGTGAGGATTCAGTTGCAATAATGATGATTGGCTTGTATGGCAAAATGAGACCAGAGACTTTGCCTTACGTACCCAGAACTCTTGATCAGGCCAGCTTCAGGGATCTTCTGAAAGAAGGGAGGACTCATCTCCACCCAAATAAGGCAATTGAGGAAGTATCAACTAATTTTTAACAAAGACTGTATTAATGGAATATCTATAGAAATAAATATACATGCATTTAAATACAAATGTCATTCCAAAAAATGCTGTTCCAATGAATACTAAATAAATTTGTAATAAGGGTCATTTGAAGTAAAAACAATGCCCTAATTTCAGTTTTAGCAAAGGCTCAATGAATGCATAGTGTCTAGGCACCTAATATGTTTAATGGTTTAAAAAACAGCTTTTAAATTCCATTTAGGACTCATTTAGATTCACAATTAAGATATGTGTTATAATACTCGGAAAACTACAGTGAATGACCAGGAACAGTGTAGTTGCAGAATTACAGGAATGTTGAACACACAAGGCAGACTCTGCACGTAGGTATAGCTGGAGGTTTGCATCTGCCTACTCTTTAGGTTTGGACATAAGGTCTTATTAGTAAAGGAATAACAAGGCATACCTGTATACACAAATGAACCAGAGCAGTGGTTCTCATCCTAGGGAAACTATTTAAAAAATAGTAGCCAGGCCTGGTGGCTCACGCCTGTAATCCCAGCACTTTGGGAGGCCGAGGCGGGCGGATCACCTGAGGTCAGGAGTTCGAGACCAGCCTCAATATGGAGAAACCCCGTCTCTACTAAAAATACAAAATTAGCTGGGCGTTGGTGATGCATGCCTGTAATCCGGGGGGCAGAGTTTGCAGTGAGCTGAGGTCATGCCACTGCACTCCAGTCTGGATGACAGAGCAAGACTCTGTCCAGCTACCCGGGAGGCTGAGGCAGGAGAATCGCTTGAACCTGGGAGGCGGAGGTTGCCGTGAGCCGAGATCGCGCCATTGCACTCCGGTCTGGGCAAAAAGAGCAAAACTCCGTCTCAAAAAAAAAAAAAAAAAAAAGTATTAATATTCAGTTTTAACCCAAGATGCATTACAACTCAGAATTTCTGGAGGTATGGCCTAACATTTATTGCTGTTAGTCAAAAAGTTGGAATTCTTTCCCTTTAATTTTATCCTCAGTTAAAAATGGAGATGGTGATAAAATTAATTTTTAAAAAGTATATTACACTTGAAAATTACAATAGGTCAGGAAGGAAGCAAAATGAGGTAACGGTTATTTTTGTGCCCTCTGTGAGCACAATTACAAACCCCAGACTGAACCATTGTTTAGGGTTTCAGCTCCTTGAAATGGTTTCTCTTCTCATCTAGAGATGACCTCCTTTCCAAGATTAGTGAACTTTAAAGACTGTGTAGAGAACTTAGGTTTTCTAAGAAGGGGTTTTTTTTTTTCTTCAGACCTCTTTTATATGTAAAATGTCTTAGGGAAGTCATTTAGGCAATCATCTGGTACAAAATATCAATGTTTTTGACATTTTTTTCCTCAGTAACTCTTGAGAGAGTTTTAGATGTGTAACCTGCTAGAAAAACAGATGTCTTTAGAAAATCTGTTTTTTTTCAAGAATGATTTATATCTGCGGATAGAAGAAAAATAAAGGTTATTTGTCTAACTTACTTCAAACTCTAAGTTGTGGTTTGTGGAAGTTAGACTATTTTACCATGTATCCTACAGCTTTGACTGTTTTGAGTCATTTATTGTACTGCCAGTATTAAAGTAAAAAGATGAATCAATTAATAAGAAAAATTTTTAAAGTTGTAAATTTTCAGAGTTGTGAGTTTTTGAAAAAACATGCAAATAAATCTTATTAGTTTTTTCTTTTGTTATTAAGTCATGATTCAATTACTCTTTGAAAACAATAATCATTTTTCCTTTATATTTCATTTACATTGTGTGCCCAATTATTTTTCATTATTGGTTAGACTTAACATAGTCTTTTGAAAGGAGAATAGATATTTCTCACTGTCCTTCCAGACTTATATTTTAATACATTTATGACTAAAATTAATCTTGTCCACACATTGGTGAGTTAATTCTCTTGATCTGCATGGCAGAAGGATAAGCACAAATTTGTCTGTTTCAAACTACTAAAAGCAGCTATAAAAAGCTACTAAAAGCAGCGTTTATTGAATGATCTGGATTCCGTAGTATACAATCAGAAAATAGCTTTATTTTTCCACCACTATATATCACACCTGAGTTTTGGACTTCCCCTTTCCCACTATTTGACAGCGTTTTTTAAACAGATCTCTTAGTTTGTCAGTCATTAACAGTGTTTATTTATTTACTTTTTTTTTTTTTTTTGAGATGGAGTCTTGCTCTATTGCCCAGGCTGGAGTCCAATGGTGGGATCTCGACACACTGCAACGTCTGCCTCCCGGGTTCAAAGTGATTCTCCTGCCTCAGCCTCCTGAGTAGCTGGGACTACAGGCATGCGCCACCATGCCCAGCTAATTTTTTGTATTTTTAGTAGAGACGCAGTTTCACCATGCTGGCCAGGCTGGTCTCACACTCCCGACGTCAGGTGATCCACCCCCTTTAGCCTCCCCAAGTGGTGGGATTACAGGCGTAAGCCACTGCGCCCAGCCAACAAGTGTTTAAAAGTCCATTCTAAGCCAGCATTCTAATCTTGCCTTCACTTTAAAGTTTTTTCACTTTAGGCTCGGCATGGACTCTGTTGTTTTTTTTTTGTTGTTGTTGTTGAGATGGAGTCTCGCTCTATCGCCCAGGCTGGAGTGCAGTGGTGTGATCTCACTCACTGCAACCTCCACCTCCCGGGTTCACACCGTTCTCCTGCCTCAGCCTCCAGCTGGACCCTGTTTTAGGAATTAGTGATGTAGGTGGAGACGGCGGAGGTGTTAACTCTTCTTTCTATCTCCTTAGTTCCAGCTCACTATGCTGTTCCTGGCTCTTCCAGCGTCCAGGTCGGGGGCAGGGGTGTGAAGAGAGGTAAAGGGGTTAAAAAGGAGGCAGTTAAACGGGGTTAAGATCATGAACTCTGGAGTGAGAGACGTGGGGTTGGAGGCCCTACCACCCACTAGCTTGGTCACCTTGGTTATGTGTCTCCACAGTGTCCCTTCCTCACAATACCAATAATGACTTTCAAAATAATGACTTACGGTTCTGACGATCATATAATTGATTTATGTAAAGCACTTACTCAGTAATTGTTAGGTGTTACTGGATATTTTTATGGGAGTAGTTATTACTGGGTATTATTCTTTTTTTTTTCTGGGGCTTTCTTTTCTTTCTTTCTTTCTTTCTTTCTTTCTTTCTTTCTTTCTTTCTTTCTTTTTCTTTCTTTCTCTCTCTCTCTCTCATCTCTCTCTCTCCCTCCCTCCCTGCCTCCCTTCCTTCCTTTTTTTTTTTTTTTTTTTGAGACGAACTCTTGCACTGTCGCCTAGGCTGGAGTGCAGTGGCACAATCTCGGCTCACTGCAACCTCTGCCTCTTGGATTCAAGCGATTCTTCTGCCTCAACCTCCCGAGTAGCTGGTATTATGGGCATGTGCCACCATGCCTGGCTAATTTTTTGTATTTTTAGTAGAGATGGGGCTTCACCATGTTGGCCAGGCTGGTCTCGAACTCCTGACCTCAAGTGACCCACCTGCCTCGGCCTCCCAAAGTGCTGGGATTACAGGCATGAGCCACTGTGTCTAGCCTGGGGCTGTTTTACCAATGCCGATTACTCTTTACCTTGGCAGGTGTCCATCACTAGTTCTCTTGTGGGATGATTTTGTGTGTTCTCTGCCTTCCTCTCCACCCACAGGGATCTTTGCACTGTAGTTTCCTGGTGTTTGTAATGCTCTTACTGGCTGATGCTTTCCAATCTCCCTACCTCAGTTCTTACTCTGCTAGACTCATGCAGTTTTCTTCCCAGAGCAGGCAGAATGATGGAAAATGGGAAAATTCGTGCATCTAGGGCCAGCTAAACGCTGGAGGTGTAGGCCATTTTGCCTGTCAGTCTCTGTCCTTGCCCTACCATTATGGGCTGTTCCAGCGGTCTCTTGCTTACAGATTCCTTTAGAGTCCCAGTCTGTCTCTTCATGCGTGGAGAAATAACTGAGACATGTCAGAGCTTCCCCAAATACTCTCATCAATTTGCCTACATAGTTTTGCCACTCAGCAAACTTCCACCTAAGGAGTGAACTATCTCTTGGAGAAAACTTTCATCTCTGAGTGGTCCTCTTAGGGTCCCCTTTCCTTGGCTTGCTTTTAGGGAAACACACCCCTGTCCTCTCGTGTAGGTGAAGGGAGACACCATGGTATTCTCTTCCTTGATTCATTTCAAAGACTCCCCCTCTTCAATGAATCTCTAACCTTCTTCTAAGTAGTCACTGTTTACATTTGCAAGGTTATATTTTATTAGACAAGAGGTATACCAAAGGAATAATTTACAAGTAATTTGTGGATTGTAATTGTTGTGTGGCAATATGGATTTCTGATTCCCCTCCCCTCATCTCCCCACCACATGTCTCATGTGAAGACTGACTCCTGTTGAGAGCAAGTAAACAGAGCTGTGGCGAATTTGACTCAAAAAGGAGACAGATATTCTTCAGTACAATAAAGTGCAAACGATATACTAATATGTGTTGATTTTGATAGTATGAAGAAGCTAATGGCCCTATACCGAAAAGGTAAAAGACTGACCTAAATGAAGATTTTTTTCTCTTCTCTCTTCTGCCTTCAGCAACTGAAAATCTCTGCAACAACTTGGCAATGGAATGTGAAGGAGCTGAACAAGGAAGGACCAGATGACTGACTCATGGGGTTTGGTTGAAGGAGATGAGGGCAAGGAGAAAAGGGATATGAAGAGGGTTGTAGAGGTTGTGGGAGGAAGGAGATAGAAAAGGCCTTTGGCAAAGATATTTTTCTGCCTACATTTATGTTGGCCATATGGGGATGCCATAAATATCTTGAACACTGGAGGAGCTAGGTGTGGCACCAGACATCAAGATGGCCCTCAAGAATTCTAGCCTCCTGGTATTCATGTTCTTATATAGTCTCCTCCAACACTGAAAAGGGCTGACCTGTGTAACTAATAGGATATTGTGGAAATGATGGAGTTTGTCTTCTGAGGCTAGATCATGAAAGACATGTGGTCCTTGGACCACTTAATCATGAAGAAGACAGCTGCCATGTTGTGAGGACTCTCAAGCAGCTCTGTGGAGAGGTCCATAGGTAAGGAACTGAGAACCCCCTCCAAGTGAGCAATCTTGGAGGTATATCCTTTCCTCTCAGTCAAGCCTTCAGATGACTACAGCCTGGGCTGGTATCTTGACTGCAACCTTATGAGAAACCCTGAGCCAACACCAGCTAAGATTCTCCTGAATTCCTCACCCTAAGAAACTGAGATAATAAATCTGTGTTGGTTTAAGCCACGTGTATTGAGATAACTAATTATGTGGCAATAGAAAACTAATACACTAAGAGATGAATTAAATAGAGAATCCACTCCAAGATTCCACTGTTCTGTGGATTATATAGAGGTTGAACATGTTGCTCCAATCTAAGCTATTTGTTTATTCTTTTAAATTCTGTGTGTCTGCTTGACTGGCCCACAAGACTCTAGGATTATCAAGTATACTACCCTACCCTTCCATAATAAAAGGTGTAGGCTGGGTGAGGTGGCTTATGCTGGTAATCCCAGTGCTTTGGAAGGCTGAGGTGGGAGGATCACTTGAGGCCACGAGTTCAAGATCAGCCTGGGCAACATAGTGAGGCCAGGAGATCAAGACCAGCCTGGGTGACGGAGTCAGACTCTGTCTCTAGAAGTAAGCAAATAGGTAGTTAAATAAATAAATAAAATAAAGGGTGTGGTGTTTGGGTTACAATTTTAAATGCTGAAATTTAAGAAATTAAGAAATATACAATGAAATGATATAACTCATTAACAGTTATTATTTGCATATAAAAGTAAATACAGTTGTGAGAGACTGAATACTATGAATAAAATCACATGGTGTGCACCTGTCACAGTCATCAGTTTCACATGTTCCTGCTGAAAATAGTTGAACTCTTAGTTCCTCAATACCATTGACCTTTTCTTTTTTGAAAAAAAAAAAAAATAAATCTATTTCTACTGTAATTTGCTATCACATATTGTGTCCTTCCCCTTTTAAAAACAATGTTATTTCTGTCTCTTTTTATAATAGAATATTCTAAAATCTTCTGTTTGTATTCTACATTGCAGCTTCATTTCAAATCCAAATCCTTACAATTGGCATTGCTTAGCAAATTAACAATGATATACTTCGGTAGATATCTTGTTATGCTTTCTATTGTTTTATGTAACAATTTGGCAATTGCATAAATAGACATGTATCAATGATTCTAATAATTGAAATGGCATTTCCAGTTCCCCTTTAAGTGGAGGAAAACCTATTAAAATTAATTCATTTTAAAAAACCCCACTGTCGCAAGGCAATTTCAATAGAAAGATACCACTATCTCCCTTGCTCAGAGGTTGCTATTTACATATTTAACATCCTGAATCTCTAAAGGGAGTTCAATACGATGTAAGCATTAGCATAAGGCAAGCATGTGAACCAGATACATCTACCTATCGCTTTTTATTTGGTGTTTTTCCTCCTTTGACTTTGTCATCAAACTCAGAAACCGTCGGCTTCTGGCGCCCTCTTGTGGACAAATGCTCCTAGTGTTTTTGGCAGCTCCCTTGTTTAGGGAAGTTTGAAAAAACGAATAATTTTCCTATTTGTTTATGCAAAATAATTTGAATTTCTGAAATAGTGTGACAATTTTTGCTCAGTTACAGAATTGAACTGAGAGAAATTTCTATTAAAGCAAACATAAGACAAAAAAAAAAACCTCCCGATAAAGCAATGAAATTCCTACTACATTTTTTGTTAGATGGATTGTTGGTTCTAACTTATATTGATAATAATTAATTGCAAGAATATCAATCATCTCTGCTTCCTTCCTTCTCAATTTAGGACTTGACTAAAGGGGAGGCTTCCATTCAGCATTTATTTTCCCAGCTCCAGGGTCAAGACCCACCGTGGTCACTGGAGTCCTGGCAGTCTGCCACTGCAGGATGGGTCCTCCAGCACAATTCCATAACTCATCCGACTGCCATTCCTTTCCTAGCATCTCCTACAACAGTGTTCTCCTTTGGCCCATCCTCCTCATCCTGTCCTCCACTGACACGTTAATTTTCCTTCTTGTGGTCGGGAAAGATTAATTGAGCATCATTGAGCATTTACGATGAGCTGGAGTCTGAGTAACAGTAGAGGGATTAGCACAGTGCTAATGTGATAATAGGGCTTAATGAGTCAGGGTATAACCCATGCCCAGACCACACAAAGCTAGGAAAAAAAATTAGGCTCATAGCAGTGGTCATGTAAATTATTTCTTTGACTGTATACCTGCCTTTGTGGGAGCTCCAGCCACTTCCAGGTGTCCCTATCTCAACTATTTCTGGGAGTTCCTGTAAATTCCCATAGGTGTTCAAATAGTTTTCTCGGCCACCACACAAACACTTTCCTTTCTTTAGCTGGACCCTAGGAGATGCAGGCTGCCACGTGTTGCTTGTTTGTGTATATGTAGGTGTCTCCTGAATCTGTTGCCATGAGGTGGCTGCTCCTGCCTTGTTGAGGCCAGCTGAGGTCACTGGGGCAATGCTCTGTGTGGAGAGGTCTTGGTCACTGCTGATGTGCTGGTGCTCTAGGTATGCCAAGGTTCACCAAGTTTTTTGACTTCTTAGATCTGTATTGGCCAAATGGGAAAAAATCCCACTCTTGTTCTATAGTTTTTCAAAGTTCAAAAGCAATGCTGATTTGTGTGCCCAGTAGCTCTCTGACCTTTGAGCTAGGCAGCTGTCTTATATTTCTGTCAAAGGCTCTTCCCCTCGGGTTCCCAGAGAGATAGAAGGAAGAGAGAGCCTATGAGGAAGAGGGGAAGTCACAGAACAAGATGAGACACACTCGCTTTATATCACTCCTTGCAGTCTTTACCCAGGGCATTTTTATTAGATGAAACAGTAAGTTTCACTTCTTTTTCTTTGCTCTGAGGCTGTTTTTAATTTTCTCAAACTGATTCCTTGTGGCTCTGATTCATCCATTCTTCAGAAATGCTCAGGCATGTCTGCATCTAGGAAGAATGCAACTTAGGCTTGTGTAGGATTCTCTCCATATTAGTTAATGGTGACAAAGGTGATAGTGGACAGTGGTGACCAGGTTACAAGGAGGGAAGGAACATCTTTAGAGGAAAAATATTGGCAGCCCTCATATTTCTAAAATATTCCAGAAATTGCTCTTTAGGGGAGGAGCACATCCATGAAAACTTTCAGTATAGTTTCAAAAGTGCTTGAATGTATCATGACAGCATAATACTAAAAATCTCACACTATTCTGTTTTATAAAGTACTCTCACTTTGTGATGTGTTCAGCAAACATGTCAAATTGTTATTAAGCTCATTGTTTACAAATACGAAAGTTATAAGAGACCTAATGGTCAAACAAATGTGTATATAAGTAAGTAGGCATTACCTAAAGGCATTATCTATTATTAGAATCATTGGTACATATCCTTTTATGCAATTGCCAAATTGCCAAATTATTATATAAAACAATAGAAAGCATAACAAGGTATGCTAATTTGACTGATTAGCTAGAAATTTGCATAAAGACATTTTTGTTTCTTCTATTTTGCAAGGTAATTATATTAAAATGCTCCCACCTCCCCATCTCTGCTTCTCACATTTTATGGCCCAATAATATAAAAATAGATTCTCCTGATTGCTAAGTGGAGGCAGCCTATTTAGTTTTGAACTCAGATGCCCCAACTTTCTTGGTGAATTGCCTAGGACGAGTTCTCTCAATAGTCTGAGCCTCAATTTCCTGATGTTATGACATTGGATAAATAACACTAGTGGTACCTACCTTATAGGTGGCAAGGCTTAACTGAGATCATCAATAAAACCAAGGACAGTTACTAAGGCAAAATAAAACTTTTCTCTCCACATAAAAGTAAGTTTTTGTATGTCAGTTATTCCTCGGTAAAGCTGTTAACTAAAGTGAGAGACATTTTTGAAATGAAAATTGTCATACTAGAAGAAAATGTTAAGTTCCACTCCTGAAAAATCTGAGCTTTCTTTCAAAGAAAGGTAAAGTTCTGAGAAAGACAGACAGGAGGGCTGTGCTTCCTGCTGCACACTATGGAATGAGTATCTGGGGACGACATGAGTGGCGACCATAAAGTGTCCCTTCTGATGAGTTTGAATCATCACTTTATTCTTTTACTTAAGCCAGCACTGACCAATACAGTAGCCACTGGCCACACGCGGCTATTGAGCCCTTGAAATGTGGCTAAGCTGAATTGAAATGTAGTGTCAGTATAAAATGCACATCAGATTTTGAAGACTTTAAATTAAAAAAGAATGTGAAATAGTTTATTAAAAGTTTAAAAATATTGATTACATGTTAAATTGGTAATATTTTATATACCTATTTTTAAAAAGGAATATGTTATGAGCTATTTTTGCCTGTTTCTTTTGACTTTTTACCTTGTGGCTGCCAGAAAACTTAAAATTATATATGTATTTTGAATTAGATTTTTATCAAACAGTGCTATGAGCTAAATACATTTTCACCTTTTCTTGATGACCCGAAGATACACAGAAACGGCAAACCTTCTGGAAGACTGGATTCAGACCTTATGACTTTAAATCTGGATACCATCAATAAATAGCTGTATGATCATGGACAGACATGTTAATGTCAGAATCTCAGGATTTTTTATTTTTTATTTTTTCCAGAAGCAGAGGGGTGATATTATTATGTGAGTCCACAAATAGAGTTGTGCAAGAAATACAGGTTTATTTTTCCGTAACTGGAGTTAGTTTCTGTTATGAATGTCTAATTTATCTATTAAGGAAAACAGTCTCAGTTAATTCAGGTTCATTTAGCTCATATACACAAAATCTTTCCTTTTCCTTGAATAGCCGTAAGGTAAGGAGGCAAAGAGTATTTGATCCTGGGTGTCATCATCTATCTCTCCTGGGGACATTCTCTTGACTGCCCGGGGCTTAGTCATCATGACTGCTGTTTCTTTCTCATCCCCACTGCAAGGCCTCATTAGGAATCCTAGTTTTCTTTTCCGTAACAGATCCAATGTAGGATTTATGGAAAATAGTCCTCAAGTTACAGAACATACTTCATAGGTGTATTAAGAAGAATAAACAAGATGATCTTTGTAAAGTGCTTAGTACAATGCCCGATATAAATGAAGCCTCTGATAAAAGTAGTTAGCACTACTAATGCTGTTGATGCAGATGTTCTGGCTTTCAGGCCAGAACACTTTGAATTTCTAGAAATTTAGCTGCCAGAAAAGAGGTGAGTGAGGGTGTCATTTTCTGTTGCTTCTTTTTCAGTAGTTCAGAGTTAGGAGAGCAAATGTATACACTGTGGGGACCAGTGCAGGGTTGTGGGGGTTGAGGTTTGGGGACAAAACAAAACATCAGTCTCCAATTACTCCTTGGTTTTGACCAAGAGATCAGCAGCTAGCATTGGTGCTGGGAAGACATGTATGGGTTTGTGGGTGGTGGTAGTTGGGTGAAGACTGGTAGATCTTCTAACATTGGAGGATACCATGGCAGAAATAACAATACCATAAACATCTATTAAGTGTCTCTGACATGTCAGTAATGGGATAGGTGGTGTGGAGGATACACAAGAAGTGGAAGTCATAGTCTATGTATTTGAATAACTTACAATTGGATAAACACAAAATCCACATTGCATTTCTAGAATGAGTGATGAGGGTAAGTTGGAAGGCTGACTGTTTCTGCATGGTCTTGTGTGATGGCGATGCTTTGGTGGAGATGTCAAAGCTCAGGGTTAATACTAAAATGTTGGCCGGGCGCAGTGGCTCGCGCCTGTAATCCCAGCAGTTTGGGAGGCTGAGGGTGGCGGATCACCTGAGGTTGGGAGTTTGAGACCAGCCTGACCAACATGGAATAACCCCATCTCTACTAAAAATACAAAATTAGCTGGGCATGGTGGCACTTGGGAGGTTGAGGCAGGAGAATTGCTTGAACCCGGGAGGTGGAGGTTGCGGTGAGCCAAGATCGTGCCATTGCACTCCAGCCTGGGCAACAAGAGCAAAACTCCATCTCAAAAACAAACAAACAAAAAACCTAAAATGTCAGATATAGAAACTCAATTTGTTAGTGCGCTTTGAGCCAGTATGGCTACCAGAAACTTATTTTTTGGGCAATATGTTGGATAATCAGAATATTGATGTATTAATTTACAGTGAAGGATATTCCTTTCAAGAGAGGAGAATGCGTGCATAAAATTTAGTGACAGCTAATAACCACCAGAAGATAAATAAATAAGTTCTTTAATTTTCTTTAATATTCATTTATTGACATTCATTTTATCATCTGGTGAATTCTACCTGATACTAAAAATTAGTGTAAGTTTATAGAACAAATTCTTTAGCATCAAAAATTTTATCTACTAATTAGTGCTATTTAATTAAAAAATGCTACTAATTAAAAATATGCAGATTGGGGAAAGACTACCAATATTAAAATGTTAGCAGTTAAAATATCTCGTATTAAGAAATCTTACGTCAGCTTGAGGAAAACGAGTGTTTTGTAAAAGCGTGGTTTGAAAACCACTGCTACAAATATTGAATGGTTTAATATTATCTTGATGATTCTCTGTTTTGTACTCATATTTATTAAGGGGTTAAGACATGATCTGACCTTTGAATGAGGTATTAGATTTGGATTAGAATTAAGAAATAGAACATATAAGCCAGAGAATGAATGAAGTGTAGGTGAAAGGAGATGTGCAGACAGGCTTTTAGTAGAACACAGAGAGGAATCAAGTTAGAGACTAACAGGAGAGAATGTTGTCTGGAGGCTGATTTGATAGACGATGTATCATATAGACAATTTGATAGACAATGTATGATATTAAATTGCACAGTGGCATGAAGAGAATGATGCTTGTCAGAAGAAACCTGAACTAAAAGTTTTTCACCTCATGAGTTCCGTTTTCAAAATGTTAAAGTTTCAGATCATAAAGGGTGGTTACTTTGTGTTTAACTTCTCAAGCACTTTTTAAGAGTCACCTGAAAAGCAGTTTTTTTTAAACATTGTTTAGAGAATCAGCTATTTTGAACTATTATATAAGCTATAAATGTCTGATTTTAAAACCCCTTTGCCTCTCAAAGCTGTCATTTTTAGATAAGAATTTTTTAATAGGCTCTGAGGTAGAAGGTAGCATATGCTATTAACACACCTAATCTAGAGTTATTACCCAATCTTCTGGTTTCAATAGTTCCTCCTCATCTCTCCAAAATTTCATTTCATAAAATCAAATTGAGTTACAGGATATTAAAACTGTAAGGGATCTTGATTCACATGGTTATATCTTTGTGGTTTTTTTTTTTTTTTTAATTCTCCAAGGGATTAAAAGAAATACAATACAAAGTAATCTTTTTTTTTTCTAGGTGCTTCCTGGGGACTGCACCAACATTATAACCTGGCCAAATCTCAACATTTTTCTTATGCGCTGTATCTAGAGCTAAGACCTTGTTTACTTCTCTGGCATCTGGATAAAGATTGCTTTATCCAGTTCTTTACTTATTAATTTTGTACTCAATTCTATAGGGTCCATCCTCCAGATGAATCAACAGAATATGGGATATATATTTTTATGTCATGATTTAGGTCAATGTAGCAATACTGCTTCCCCGCCTTCACTGTGTGTTCTTCAGTGCCAACTTGGCTAGGCCATAGGACCCGATATTTGGTCAAACACGAGTCTAGATGTTGCTGCGAAGGTATTTTTAAGATAGAATTAACATTCTATTACCCTCCATAATGTGGGTGGGCCTCCCTCTATCAGGTTAAGGCCTGAAGAGCAAAAATACCAACTCCATGAGGAAGAGGAAGTTCTTCCTGCCGTCTGCCTTCAGACTTGAGCTGCAACACCAACTCTTCTTGGTGCCCAGCCTGCTAGCATACCCTGCAGATTTGGGACTTGCCAGCCTTCACAATTGCATGAGCCAATTCCTTAAAATAAATCTCTCTTTCCATATATATATTTCCTATTTGTTCTCTTTCTCTGGAGAACCTTGGCTAATACAATCAGTCAAGTATGATTAATGATCTACCTCTGGCTAAAATTCATCACTATTCCTACAGGTTAGAGTTTAATGTAAAAGTATGAGACTAAAGTCACATTTCATAGATGCAGAAATCAGTCTTCATGAGTAAAGAGAAGAAAAATGGAAACCCCAAAACAAGAAGATAGTTTACTCAACATGATCTTATTATTGTTCAAGAACTCACCCCCTCAAATAAGAGAATATGTCACAGTATCAGGGATTAGTTACCGTTGGAAGCAGATTCAGGTTTTGCTTGTACAGTTTGGGGACCTTTCTTTAAGAAGTTAATGCAAAAGTACTAATATGAAATTAGGTATGAAGTGAATATCTATGTAGATTGAGAAAAGAAATCATAACAATTTACAAAATTTTAAAAGCTGAAAAATACTGTAAACACAACAAAATCCAGAAAGGAAATACCTACTTTTAATTAATATATATATACTTAGTATATATTAATATGTATAATTAATATATGCTTTTAATTCCCTGATAGATGTTTATTACTCTCTTCTCCTCCAGTTTTTGGTGTGTATTTTTGGTTGCCCCTTCAGAATAGAAAGGCAATTTAGTTCATACATTTCAAACTATGTTTCTCCTCCATTACCAATAAACTTCTGCATTAGTCCAATCTCACATTGCTATAAAGAAATACCTGAGACTGGGTAATTAATAAAGAAAAGAGGTTTAATTGGCTCATGGTTCCACAGGCTGTACAGGAAGCATGATGCTGGCCATATGCTTGGCTTCTGAGGAGGCCCTTACAATCATGGTAGAAAGTGAAGGAGAAGCAGGCATGTCTTACATGGCCAAGGCGGGAGGAAGAGAGAAAGAGTGGGGAGGTGCTATACACTTTTTAACAACAAGATCTTGTGAGAACTCTTATCACGAGAACAGCGCCAAAGGGGGAAATCCGCCCCCTATGATCCAATCACCTCCCACCAGGCCACACCTCCAACACTGGGAGTTAACAATTCCACATGAATTTGGACAGGGCCACAGATCCAAAACATATCAACTTCCATGCCAGATACTGTAAGATACATTCACATGGAGATAGGACCTCTAGTCTGAGCCTTTGTGTGACCACATTGTATGAATGTGTGCAGTGTTTACAGGAAAGATGTATTTCTGAAAGCCTTTTCTGTATGGGGATGACCGGCAGTAACTTAACTATATATTGAAGCAGCTGCAAACCACATAAATATATCCCACAAGACCTTAAATGTAGCCCTAAGCAGATCCTAAAAATGCCACGGCCACATCAATACCACTCTACCTGAGGAGACAGGCAATGGGAGGAAACTCACAGTGGAAAGAGACAGAGGTCACCCTAAGATAAAGTATCTTCATTTGGTAAATTTTACAGAAGCATATGATTATGTGAATGTGGCCTTGGAAAGGATCTGGGTAAATGAGAGATCCCAAAGCTTAAGCACTGGCTACTGTAGATACATCACACCCATCTCTTTTCCCACTTCAAGATAATTTTTTAAAGACTCATTCATTAATATATATTCCCGCTCCTGGAATTATTGTGTGAAATTTTCCATAATTAACTGTTAATATTTATACTGTGAGTATGGGAACTACACATGAATAGAAATGAGATATCTTTAAATCACACATTTGCAATGAATATTTCAGAGCAGTGTAATTGAATCTTGTGTGTAATTATGACAGACATACAATAATAGTTCTCTCTTTAAAGAATGTCTTTTTCTTTTTTGACCTAGAAGGGCACAGGAAAGGAACAAGAAAAAAGTTAAACAGGTTTTGTCAGGGGAGGTTGGCTTTAGAGCAAAATACATAGTGGAGCCATTCATAGTTAGAAATTATTTCAAAAGAAAATTGCCATTGGCTTTCAAATAGAAATTTCAGGAAGAAAATGTTAATAAAAATGTAATGGTTATAATGGCAACCCTAATGATGATGATGTTTTGTGTGTGTTATTAGATGAATGATTATCATAATCTATGACACTTTTTTTAGTGCATTAAGAGGTAGAATTGAGTGGTACTTATGAGGTCATGATTTATTCTCTTTTCCTTAGCTGTTTGAAATGACTTTGCTATTATTTCTAAATTCTCATTCTATAATAGGGCCATGCGCATCGACACAGAGAATCAGACTGAAAAGAACATTAAGTCAGTTTCAATTCTGCTTTCATTATTCACAGGACTAAAGACTCTTTCAGTTAAAATCAGTTCTTTGGCATCTTCTTATTGATTCTGGAAAAGGCTTATACATGAATTTATATAGGAATCTGTGGCAGCCTCGTGCTTTGATTTCCCTCTTTCCAAACTGTTCCTCTCAATACTAATGTCCTTATATAGCCCATCTTCCACAAGGACTCTGGGTTTGGTCATGTAACTTGCTGTGGTTATCAGTGGACATCAGCCAGTGTGACACAAGCAAGGCTTGTTGAGGGCTTTCACATTCAAGTTGTCTTCTTAGAAAACTCCATCTTGGAAGCCAGATAATACTGTAAGAAAGTACAGGCTATATCGCTAAAGAGAAACACCATGTGGAATATCCCTGTACATCCTCACTCAAATCTCATGTCAAATTGTAATCCCCCTATGTTGGCCGAGGGGCCTGATGGAAGGTGACTGAATCATGGGGGCAGTTTCCCCTTGCTGTTCTTGTGATAGTGAGTGAGTTCTCAAGAGATCTGGTTGTTTGAAAGTGCGTAGCACTTCCCCCTTTGCATGTGCTCTGTCTCTCCTGTTGCCATGTGAAGATGTGCTTGCTTCCCCTTCACATTTTGTCTTGATTATAAGTTTCTTGAGGCCTCCCCAGCCATGCTTCCTGTACAGCCTGTGAAACTGTGAGTCAATTAAATCTCTTTTCTTTATAAACTAGCCAGTCTCATGTAGTTCTTTATAGCAGTGTGAGAACAGACTAATATAGGCCACCAAGGGTGAGACACCACATGAAGAGAGAGACAACTTGAACGAAAACCAAAGTGCCCTAGCCAAGTTTTCAGTTGAGTGTAGACATGTGAGAGACCTCAGTTAACAATGCATGGAACAGAACAACCCAGTTAACACAGAGAAATGTGAAAAATAATACACCATTGTGCTTTTAAACCAGTAAGTTTTGTTTTGTAAAGCAGCAACAGATAATGGAAGCAGGATTACAGAAGTATTTTTAAAACCATCTCATCTGTATATGAAATCCAAAAGTGATTTGAATGATAATTATAGAAAGTTATTACATTGAATTTCCATAAAAATGACAAATATTTGTTCAGCACTTTACATGTAAAGCATTATACTTTTAATAGCTAACATTTATTAAGTACCATATGCTAAATAGTTTACATTCATTAATTTTTAAAATCTACTCAACTACCCTATGAGATTGACATTATATTTGTTCCCTCCCGATTTATAGATGATGAAGTTGAGGCTTAAAGATGATAAATCTTTCACCCAATGTTACATAGTGTATAGAAGCTACAAAAGTCTTATAAAATGCACTGTGTACAAGGAATGGAATGTAGTATTTAAAAGGTCCACACCCATGAAATTATTATAAGAGATGGTAATGTTATAACATATTACACAGTGCGGTGTTAAAGATCATGGCATTGTGAATCAGAAAGACACAGATTTAAATGGTGACTCTTACACTAGCTTCGTGATATGTAAACTCTCTGAACCTAGGTTTCCTTATCTGTATGATGGAGATTAAAACGTTATCTCCTCCATGGCTGTTGAGTGTAATCTGGGCAGTGGTGTGCTAAGGCCAGCTTGTACCTAAGCTGATTGTGTTCCTCTCTTCCCAAATCTGTATTCAGGGACATCATGTTCTTAGCTTAAAAGCAACCTTGGTGGGAGTTTTAACACCATGGAAACGTTAAAGCCTAACCAGCAAAAGACTTCCAGCCTTTAGTCTGACAAAATCAGATATATTGACTGAGTCATAGCCAAGGAGAGCACATGCAGGAACTGTGTAAGGTCACCTGTGCTTTGTAAGTGTTGGATTCCTGCCAGAGGAGTCTGAGGAGGGTCTAAGGGAATGGGAAATCCATTCTCGGTTGGTTGCTACTTCTGTGACAGGATTAGTAGTGTGGATCAACTAGGGATTTCTTACTGTCATGAGGGTAAGAAGGTTTAGCAATTGGGCATCCAACAGGAATAGCAAAGGGCATTGGGAAGTGGCATTGGTAAGGAAGCAGTAATCACTCATAGTGAGGGTCGTGATGACATCTCATAGCCACATAACCCTGGGAGAAAGCATATGTCCTGGTAACTTTGTAGCTGACTTTATTGTTTGTCCTTTCAGTCTGATTAACAGCAGAGCTGTCTTTTGTCTTTTAGTCTAAGTTCATTTTTACTTTTACTAATCCAAGAAGTCTTTCAGAAATCAGCCAACAGTACAAGTCGGAGCTTTTCATTTTGTTCCTGGAGACCCAGTTGTTAAACATTTATCAGCATATCACTGCTTGTTTGTTCTCATATTTCTGCCCTTTAAGTGAGACTCCTCTCCTATGAAGACATGGTGAACACAGCCAAGTCCCATTATGTGTAATTAATGAAAGTCTAATATCCTCCCCAGATCTTTCTTAGAATCCCCAGGGAATGCTTATGTTTCATAAATCCATCCTTAAGTATTACCTTTGGATTACTTACCAATGTCAGGACTTCTCTGAAAATGTGCAAAGATTCTTGTCATTGCTACTTAACTAAAAAATACTTGACATTTCTCTTCAGGACATAGCAAACATTTCCTCCAACAAATTTCATGTCTACTTAGTCTATAAAAGTTGCTTAAAATTACTAAAAATTCAGATTTTCTAGTTTCAACAAATTGACACAGTGACTATATGTATTTCTGTTCTTTTCCCTTCAAATGTTATGTATTTTGGAATGAATACAGTCTCTGTAGTGGATGGAAATTAAGGTAGAGATCTATGACTCAAAATGAAAGATGCACACACTTTTGAAATTTAAAGGGATCTTAGAGATTATTTAAAAATGTTGGGATTACAGACCTACTTGAGAATCTGAAGACATGGATCTTTTTCCCAGAAAAATGCATATGCTCTGGTGTGTTCACAATACATACCCAGAATCACAGAATTTTAGTGTTTTTAGATCTCTTGAAGCCCATTAGTATACTCCAGTCTAATAGGCGCAAAACCTGGTCTGGTCTGTCCATTTCTCTTCACTTTATTCATAAAGTTATCAAGCCAAGGTGACATATTGAACTAGTAGTAGATCTACGATTATAAGTAACAACTTTTGCCTTAATAAGCTACTGTTACCTATGTCTTCTCTGATTTCTTTCTTTTTCCCATACCACCATCATAAAATAGATAACTTACTAGTTTCCAAGTCTCATTAACAGGAATAGTTTTGGATAGACCATACAGTGTAGTGGTTAAAAGCATAGGTTTTGGAGTTGGGCCACCTTAGATTCAAGGCCTGGCTTTGTTTCAAACTTTAGTTATAGTTCAGTCTGTTTTTCTTTCTTTTTTTAAAAAATAATTTTTATTGTGTATAATCAAGGTATACAACATGATATTATGGGATACATATAGATAGTGAAATGGTTACTATAGTAAAGCAAATTGGCATATCCATCACCTTACATTGTTACCCATTTGTGTGTGTGTGTGTGTGTGTGTGTGTGTGTGTGTGTGTGAGGAGTAGCTAAGTCTACTCATTTAGCATGAATCCCATATACAGTACAATTGTATTACCTATAGTCCTCATGTTGTACCTTGGATCTCTAGACTTGTTCATCCTACATATCTGCTACTTTACATTCTCTTACCTATATCTCCAATTCTTCTCTCTCCACCCTCACAGGGGTAACTACTGTTTTGTTTTCTTTGTATATTTGATTTTTTTTAGATTTCACATATTAGTAAAATTATGCAGTATTTTTCTTTCTGTGTCTAGCTTATTTCACTTAGAATAATGTCCTCCAAGCCTATCCATGTTGTGAGAAATGGCAAGATTTCATCCCTTTTTTGGGCTGTATAATATTCCATTCATATATGTACCACTGTTTCTTTATCCATTTGTTCGTCAGTGGACACCTAGGTTGTTTCTGTAACTTGGTTATTGTGAATAATGCTGCAGTGAACATGGGAGTGTGCAGATATATTTACAAGGTGGTGATTTCATTTGCTTTGAGTATATGTACAGAAGAGAAATTGCTGGGTCATATGATAATTCTGTTTTTAATTTCTTTAGAAACCTCCATACTATTTTCATAATGGGTGTACCAATCCACATTCCTACCAACAGAGTACAAGAGTTCCCTTTTCTCCACACCTTAGTCAACTTTTGTTATCTTTTGACTTATTTTTCTTCTCATTCTTTCTCCCCTCTTTTGACTTTTTGATGATAGCCATCCTAACAGGTGTGAGGTAGTGTCTCATAATCATTTGATTTGCATTTCCTTGATAATTAATGATGTTGAGCACCTTTTCCTATACCTGTTGGCCATTTTATATCATCTTTGGAGAAATGTCTCTTCAAGTCCTTGTCCATTTTTTAATCAACTTATTTGATTTTTTTTTTAATTAAGAAACAATCTAACTCTGTCATCCAGGCTGGAGTATGGTGGTGTGATCTTGGCTCACTGCAGCCTTGGCTTCCTGGGCCCAAGTCATTCTCCCAGCTCAGCCTCCCGAGTGGCTGGGACTACAGGCTCACACCACCATGCCCAGCTTTTTAAATTTTTTTTTGAAGAGACAGGGTCTTTCTATGTTGCCTAGGAGTGTCTCAAACCCCTGGCTTCAGGTGATCCTCCCGCTTTGGCCTCCCAAAGTGTTGGGATTACAGGCACAAATTTATACAACTATTGAGTTGTATAAATTTTGGATACTAACTTCTTATCATATATATTGCTTGCAAATATTTTTTCCCATTCCATAGGCTGCTATTTCATTTTGCTGATTGTTCCCTTTGTTGTGCAGAGGCTGTTAGTTTTATGTAGTCTCATTTATTTATTTTTGCTTTTGTGTCCTGAGCTTTCGGTGTGATACAAAAAAAAATCATTACCAAAACCAATGTCCAGGAGATTTTTCGCTATGTTATCTTCTAGGAGTTCTATACTTTCTTGACTTATATTTAATTCTTTAATCCACTTTGAGGTAATTTTTGTGTAAGGTACTTAAGGGTCCAATTTCATTCTTTTTTATATGAAAATTCCAGTTTCCCAGCACCATTTATTAAAGAGACCCTCCTTTCCCTATTGTGTCCTTTTGGTGCCCTTGTCAAAAATTAGTTGATTGTAAATGTTTGGATTTATTTCTGGGGTCTCTATTTTATTCTCCTGGTCGATGTGTCTGTTTTTATGCTAGTACTATACTCTTGATTACCACAAATTTGTAACATCATTTAAAAACAGGAAGTGTGATGCCCCTAACTTTTTCTTTCTCAGAATTCTTTTGGCTGTTTTGGGTATTTTATGGTTCCATATGAATTTAAGAAAAATTAATATGGAATTTGAAGAATGCAATTGGGGTTTGATAGGAATAATGTTAAACCTGTATATTGCTTTGGTCAGTATGTAATTCTAACAATTTGAATTTTCTGATCCATGAACACAGGATATATTTCCATTTATTTGTGTCTTTTTTTATCAATGTTTTATAGTTTTCAGTATACATATATATATATATATATTTTTTTTTTTTTTTTTTTTTTTTTTGAGTTGGAGTCTCGCTCTGTCACCCAGACAGGAGTGCAGTGGCACGATCTCAGCTCACAGCAACCCCCACCTCCCAGGTTCAAGTGATTCTACCTCACCCTCCTGAGTAGCTGGGATTAAAAGCATGTGCCATCACTCCAGGCTAACTTTTGTATTTTGGTAGAGATGGGGTTTCGCCATGTTGGCCAGGCTGGTCTCGAACTCCTGACCTCAAGTGATCTGCCCACTTCAGCCTCCCAAAGTGTTAGGATTACAGGCGTGAGCCACCGTGCTCAGCCAGTATACAGATCTTTTACCTCCTTAGTTAAACGTATTCCCAGGTATTGTTTTGATGCTACCCTAAATGGAATTAATTTCTTGATTTTGTTTCCAATTAGGGGTTGCTTTTTGTGTATAAACATGCTACTGATTTTCATATGTTGATTTTGTATCCTGCAACTTTACTGAATTCATTTATTAGTTCTAACTTTTTTTTTCTTTTTTTTTTGGTGTGGAGTCTTTCTTTCTTTTTTTTACATATGGGATTTTGTCATCTGCAAATAGAGATAATTTTATTCTTCCTTTCAGATTTGGATGCTCTTTCTTTCTTTTCTTCTTTCTTTCTTTCTCTCTTTCTTGCCTTCTTTCTTTCTTTTTTTTTGTCTGATTGCTCTTGCTAGTACTTACAGTACTCTCTTAAACAGAAGTAATAAGAGTGTATATCCTTGTCTTCTGCCATATCTTAGTGGAAAAATTGATTACAATGTCAGCTGAGGTTTTTTCAGAAGTGGTCTTTATTATGTTGAGGCACTTTCCTTCTAATGCCTAAGCTCTTCAACCATTCTAAGCTTCAATATTATTATTGTAATATGATGAAAATAATGGAATTAAAGAACTGTTGTAAAGATGAAATGAGATAACATATACAAAATACTTGGTACAATGCCTAGCACACAATAAACATTAAATAAACATTACGTACTATTATTATCATCATTATTATTATCACTACAGTTCTTGGAAACTAGATGGAGACACTAGGCTCAAAGTAATCAGGTGGGGTATAACATTCTGTTTCCTCCTTTTTTTGTAAGGTGAGCCATTTGAAGTGCTTTGCAGCTGGAGTTAAGACCAGAAAAAAAGTCAGTTCAAGGTCAGAGTTCTGGCCAGTCTTTACGTTGCTTAGCTCTATTTTTAAATGATGCAGGTATGATACAATTTTGTTTTAAAATTGTTTATATGTAAATAAATTTTTAATTGAGTTATAATTAACATGATGAAATGCACATATATTATTTCATATGATGAACTTTACAGTTGTGTGCATTCCTGTAACTATTACCCAAAGCAAGATATTGTTTCTCATTGCGTAGAAAGTCCTTTGTGTTTCTTTCCAGTCAATTTTTACTCCATTCCATATCACAGCCAAAAATTGATTCTATTATGATAGATTAGTTTTATTTGTATTTGTATTTCATGTAAATTGCATCATACAATATATACACTTTTGGGTTTGGCCTCATTGGTTTAACAAAAGTTTTTGAGATCCAGACTGGGCGTGGTGGCTCATGCCTGTAATCCCAGCACTTTGGGAGGCCAAGGCAGGCAGATCACTGTAGGCCAGGAGTTCAAGTCTAGCCTGGCCAACATGGCAAAAACTCATCTCTACTAAAAATACAAAAATTAGCTGGGCGTGGTAGCACGTGCTTGTAGTCCCAGCTACTTGGGTGGCTGAGACATGAGAATCACTTGAACCCCAGAGGCGGTAGTTGCAGTGAGCCACTGCCCTCCGGCCTGGGAGATAGCAAGACTCTGTCTCAAAAACAAAAACAACAAAAAAACGCTTTTGAGATTTATCTATCCTGGTGTATGTATTAGTAGTTTGGTTTTTTTTTTTTTTTATTGCCAAACAGTATCCCATTATATAAACATACCACAATTTATCTCCTGTCTTAGACATTTGGGTTGTTTCCAGGTTTTGGCTATTTTTAATAAGGCTGATAAAAATATTTCTTTGTGTGGAAGCCTATTTTCTCTTTGTTCCCACCCCCACCCTCACCTTTTTTTTTTTTTTTAAAGACATAGTGGTCTCACTATATTGCTCAGGCTGGCCTCAAACTCCTGCCATCATGTGATCCTCCCACCTTAGTCTCCTGAGTAGCTGAGACTACAGGAGCCACACCTGGCTCCTTCACTTTTGAAGGATAATTTTGCAGGACACAGAGTTCTAGGTTGGTGTCTTTTTCCCTCTCGCTTTACTTCACTGCATTTTCTTCTTGCCTCCATCGGTTCTGAGGAGAAGCCAGTTGTAATTTTTATCTGAGAAGCCAGTTGTAATTTTTATCTGAGAAGCGGGTTGTAATTTTTATCTTTGCTCTTCTACTGTTAAGGGTTTTTCCCCTGCCACCGCTCTCTGGCTTACTTCAAAATTTTTTATTTATCTTTGATTTTCTGCAGTTTGAATATGTATGCCTAGGCATAGTTTTGTTTTGTTAGTTTTCTTTTTTTTGCAGGGGGGACTTATCATGCTTGGTGTTCTCTGAGCTTGCTGGATCTGTTGTTTGACATTAATTTGGGAGAAATCTGTAGTCATTATTCCTTCAAACATTTCTTTTGTTCCTTTCTCATTCTTCTTTGGTATTTTCATTACTTATATGCTACACTTCTTAAAACTGTCCCATAGCTCTTGGATATTCTTTTCTGTTTTGTTTTAGTTTCTTTATCTCTGCTTTTCAGTTTCAGAAGTTTCTATTGACACATCCTCAAGCTCAGTGGTTCTCTTCTCAGCTGTGTCTAGTCTACTAATAAGCACATCCCAGGCATCCTTCATTTCTATTACAGAGCTTTTCAATCTCTAGCTAGCATTTCTGATTCTTTTATAGAATTTCTGTCTCTCTGCTTACATCATTCATTGATTTTTTTTCATGTTGCCCACTTTTTCCATTAGATTACTTACCATATTAATTATAGTTATTTTAAAGTCGTGGCCTGATATTTCTAAGATTCTTGCCGTATCCTATTCTGCTTCTGGTACTTTCTCGTTTTCTTCAAATTGTGCTTTTTTGCATTTTTAGTATGCTTGTAATTTTTTTGTTAAAAGCAGAGTAGGATGTACTAGGTAAAAGGAATTGAGTAAATAGACCTTTAGCAACGTGGTGGTAAGGTGCAGGGGGTGGGGGAAGCTTTCCATAGTCCCATGATTAGGTCTCAGTCTTCCAGTGAGCCTCTGTCCATGGACTGTAAACCTCAGAAATGCTTCTCATATTTTTTTACTCCCTTAGATGAGACATGATATGTAGAAACGTTTGTAGAGTTGGGTATTTCCCTTGCCGTAGTTTAATTAGGCTCTGATAAAACCCCAACAGGTTAGGCTTTGGTAAAATAATTTCTCCCGAGGGCAGGTCTTACTAAGAACAGAATGCTCTGACTTATTTCAAAATGATTACTTTTATCCTCCTGTAGCCAGAAGAAGGAAGGTGTCTATACTGTGAGATTCTACTAGAGCTCTTAGAGGTAAGTCAGAAAATGTGGGTTCTTCCCCGTGACGGCTCCCCCACCCCGAGGTCTTAACTCTCAGAGCTGCCCACACTGAGCCTCCAGCAACTCATCAATTACAGTTCAGGTTTTCCTACTCCAGCAGTGGTTACCACAGAGGCTTTTGCTCTGATAAGTTGTCATTCTCTGGATCTGCCTATCTCTCTAATTTTTGGAGCAGCAGTTTGCCTTGAGACCTCACTTCGCTGATGGATTTAAGAACAGGTGCTGATTTTTAGTTTGTTCAACTCCTTGCTTGCTGATGGAGTGACGACACCTGCTAAGCCCTTTATATGTTGGACTGGAAACTGGAAGCTCTGTAGAAATCTTTTTGTGGACATGTTTTTATTTCTTTTGGCTAAAGACTTTGAAGTGAAATTGTTCTAATGAAGATTTGTAGTGTTCCTTTTGTTGGCAATGCAGATTTATGACTACATTTAAGTAGTGTTGTCTTAGGCTACTCAGGCTGCCCTAACAAAATAGCATGGACTAGGTGGCTTAAACAGCATTTACTTCTCACAGTACTGGAGGCTGGGGGTCCAATATCAAGGTGCAAGCCAATTCTCTTCCTGTTGAGGGCCCTCTTCCTGGCTTGTAGATGGTTGCTTTCTCCCTGCGTCCTCACATGATGGAAGAGAGAGGCAGAGAGAGGGAAAAGAGGAGTGGATGGTGAAGGGGAGGGGGAGGGAGAGAAGGAGGGAGGGAGAGAGAGAGAAAGTGCACACACTCTGGTCTCTCTTGCTCTTCTTAGAAGGATGCTAATCCCATCGCAAGGCCCCCACCCTCATGACCTAATCTAACCCTAGTTACTCTCTGAAGGCTCCATCTTCAAATATCATCACATGGAGGGCTAGGGCTCTAACATAAGAATTTTGAGGGGATACAAAGCTTCAGTCTGTAACAAGCATACTTTTAAGTTTTTCTTGAAACCCACCAAATAAATGTAAATGTATATTTGGGCAATGTTTCTTAAAAATGTACATTATCATAACATCATTGTTTTGCTGTCAGCTATGAGATGTGCTGCTAAAAATTTATTAATGCGGAGTGTAAGTGTCATCAGATAAACTTTACCAGTGAATTTCCTTATTTTATGCTTTATCAAGAAGTCCCTTGCTAAGGAGTGAATGTGTCTGTTTTCCTTCCCCACCCCCAATTCGTATGATGAAACTTAGTCCCCAGTGTGATAGCATTTGGCGGTGGTGCCTTTGGGAGGTGATTAGGTCATAAGAATGAAGCATCCATAAATGAAATGAGTGCCCTTATAAAACAGGCCCCAGACACTTCCCTCCCTACTTCCAGCATGTGAGGACACAGTGAGAAAATGACTGTCTATGCTGGAGGAAGTGGGCCCTCCCCAGACACCAAATCTGCCTACCTCTTGATCTTGGAGTTCTCAGCCTCCAGAATGGTGGCTCATTTCAGTTAGTAGGTGATGAATATTGGTAGGACTGAATCCTTCCTTCAAGGCAGCAGGTTCCAGTTTGGCCCAGAGTGTGTCTAGAAATGTCTGGGAGCTAGGGCCTGAAACAAGGACCTCATGACTCTGGCCAGGGCCCTATCCTGTGGTGGCTGGGCTGGTACCCTAGATATAAGACACATTCTTCCCTACTCTTGCCTCTCTTCTCTTCATGTAGAAGAAAGGGGTCTCTTTTGGAGCCATGAGCTGTGCAGCCTGGGGTTAGAGGAGGGGTGACACCAGGATTCCCTTGGCTTCCCCAGCTAATGTCTCAGTATGTCATATGATCCCCCAGTCCACTGTCTCTGGGCCTAATTCAGCACTAGGACTTGCCTAATAGTTGCATGTACTTATGGCCTAGACTGTCTTTCAAGTTTCCTCAGAAACAAAGAATGCTGTAGACCTCAGTGGTGAGGTTTACAGCTACTCAAGTTCAGACCACTGGGATGGATGATTCCCTTATGGCTAGGGCTGGTTTAAATGCTCCATCTGTGGGTGGGCATCAGCTGAGTTTGGTCTGGTTTTCCTTTCTGCTATAACAGGACAGCACTGAGTTCAATGCCTCATGATTGCTGTGTCCTCTTTCCCCCAGTACACAGAGATGCTCTTCACACCACTCTGCTGCTGTGGGTGGTTGGTGGGGGGTGGCATCGGTGATTAGTGCTGTTTTTTGATCTCTTCAGTGCCTCTTTCAGAAATATGAAGTTACAACTAGATTCTGTGAGTGCTCACCTGATATTTAGTTCTTATGAGTGTGTTTTTCTGTGTAGATAGTTGTTAACTTGATGTCCTTGCAGGGAACATGATCAATGGAGCTTCTACTCTACCATTTTGCTTTGCCTTTTTATGTACCAAATATTTTTTATCCACTCCATTGCTGATGGACATTTAGGTTGGTTCCATGACTTTGTTATTGTGAATAGTGCTGCAATTAACATATGCGCGCATGTGTCTTTATGGTAGAATGATTTACATTCCTTTGGGTATGTACCCAGTAATGGGATTGCTGGGTCAAATGGTAGTTCTAAGTTCTTTAAGAAATCTCCAAACTGCCTTCCATAGTGACTAAACTAATTTACATTTCCACCAGCTGTGTGTAAGTGTTCCCTTTTCTCTGCAACCTCACCAGCATCTGTTATTTTTTTGACTTTTTAATAATAGCCATTCTGAGTGGTATGAGATGGTATCTCATTGTGGTTTTTATTTGCATTTCTCTGATGATTAGTGATGTTGAGCATCTTTTCATATGCTTGTTGGCCCCATGTATGTCTTCTTTTGAGAAGTGTCTATTTATGTCCTCTGCCCATTTTTAATGGGGTTGTTTATTGCTAATTGATTTACTTAAGTTCCTTATAGGTTCTGGTATTAGACCTTTGCCAGATGCATAGTTTGCAAATATTTTCTCCCATTCCGTAGGTTGTCTATTTACTCTCTTGATAGTTTCTTTTGCTGTGCAGAAGCTCTTATGTTTAATAGGTCCCACGTGTCAATTTTTGTTTTTGTTGCAATTGCTTTTGAAGTCTTTGTCATGAAATCTTTGCCAGGGTTTATGTCCAGAATGATAGTTCCTATGTTTTCTTCTAGGGTTTTTATAGTTTTATGTTTTACATTTAAGTCTTTAATCCATCTTGAGTTGATTTTTGTATATGGTGAAAGGAAGGGGTCTACTTTCAATCTTCTGCATGTGGCTAGCCAGTTATCCCAGCACCATTTATTGAATAGGGGGTACTTCCCCATTGCTTGTTTTTGTTGACTTTGTCAAAGATCAGATAGTTGTAGGTGTGCAGTCTTATTCCTGGAATGTATATTCTGTTCCATTGGTTTATGCGTCTGTTCTTGCACCAATACCATGCTGTTTTGGTTACTGCAGCCCTGTAGTATAGTAATTTGAATTCAGGTAGTGTGATGTCTCCAGCTTTGTTCTTTTTCCTTAGTATTGCTTCAGCTATTCAGGCTCTTTTTTGGTTCTATATGAATTTTAGAATAATTTTTTCTAATTCTGTGAAAAATGTCATTGGTAGTTTGATAGGAATAGCACTGAATCTGTAAATTGCTTCAGGTAGCATGGCCATTTTAACAATATTGATTCTTCTTATCCATGAGCACGGAATGTTTTTCCATCTGTTTGTGTCATGTCTGAGTTCTTTGAGCTGCATTTTTATTTAATGTTGTAGAGATCTTTCACCTCCCTGGCTGGCTGCATTCCTAGGTATTTTATTTTTGTGTGTGACTGTTGTGAATGGGATTGTGTTCTTGATTTGGCTCTCAGCTTGGACATTCCTAGGGTATAGAAATGCTAATGATTTTTGTACATTGGTTTCGTATTCTGACACTTTGCTGAAGTTGTTTTTCAGATCTAAGAGGTTTTGGGCAGAAACTATGGGGTTTTCTAGGTATAAAATCATATCATCTGCAAAGAGATAGTTTGAATTCCTATTTTGAATTGTCTAACTGCTCCCTTAATATTAATATTTTTTAAAGTAATGACAAAAAAAGTGATGACAATGTTAATAAATCTGGTGGTATACCAGGATTTTGAAAACAAGTCTGTAGAAATTTTATTATAATTTGTCATTAATTGAATCATTAAAGCTCATATTGTGCTGTCAAATTTTCCTTTGAGTAATAAATAATTGATTATTTAACTTTGAAAATGTTTAAACATTTATTTGGCCAGTTAACTCAGATTTTTGTAAGTTGTTTATTCTGAACATCTCCTTAAGTGTCTCTATTAGTCAAACTACCTGGCCTAATAAAAACGAATAGATTCTCAATCTATGTGTTGGGGTCCAAACGTAAATGCACTTAGGAGAAGTCCTGTAGAATTGGGAGGAGAACGCAGAGAATAATTATTTGAATTTAAATGGTGATTTTTAAAAATTCAAAGCATTTTTCACCTTATTAAAGATAGGAATTAGCATATAACTGCTTTATTGTTACAACTAATGGATATAAGAACTGAAACTATATTGCGACATTACCCAGCCCAAAGTTGCTGTGCCCATCATGGCAATTATCACATTTTATCATCGTGGCAATTGTCTCCCTATGAGAATCTTCCCAAGAGCTCCCATGACCTTTTATGCTGCATGTCAATTTTGTACCCCTTCCAATAAAATAAATTCAATGTTGTTCTGTTACTATTTGTGTCTTCTCTAAGACTGAACTTACTAGACATTTTAATGTAATAAGATGGAAATTTCAGAGAGATCAAGATGTAGAAATGAGCCAATATTACATAATTCTTTATTTTCTATTAAGTGTAATGCCCAAATAATACTTAGTTCTTACTTGTTTTGCTTCTGTGACCAAAGTTAGGAAACTTCTATTTGTGTAGGAGTTGGTGGAACCTAGAATGGTGTACTTAGGTAAATGACTGGTGTGTGTGTACATGTGTCTGGTGTCCACAACCTCCAGCTGAACCTCCTCAGAGAACATCTGGGCTACCAGTCCAGTGAGGAAAGAAGTGTAATTTTTTCATGTTACTCTTACCTAAGGTAGCAGTTTTAGGTCCATGCTAAATGTAACTAAAACGTCAGCTCATGATGTAGTCAGACCTGAATATATGAATGATGGAGCCATATATTCAATAGGGTGAGCCAGCTGGATCACTAAACAAAAGGTATTTGTAGTAAAGGATTAACGTAAGTTACTGTAAACAGCCTCCGAGATGGCCCCTGTGACCCTCAGCTGGAATGCATGGCCTTGTATAGCCTCCTTCCATATTGATTCAGAGCTGGTCTGTGTGACCAATAGAAGGCAGTGGAAGTGACTGTGTGTGACTTCCAAATATATGTCATAAAAGCTTTTGAAGTCATTGAAGCTTTTGCCTTAGACTTTTGGATCTCTTGTTCCAGAGAAAGCCAGCTTTCAGGACTCACACAGGGAGCCCTGTGAGGATGTTCACATGCAGAGCCATGAAAGCCCTGCTGATAGGCAGCACCAACTTGCACAGTTGAGTGAGCCACCTTGAAAGTAATCCTGCAGTCCTAGTTAAGACTTCTAATGACTAATGACTGTAGCACCAGCCAATATCTGCCTGCATTTCAAATGAAAGATCCTGAGAGAGAACCAACTACCCAATGAAACTGCTCTGAAATTCCTGACCTACAGAAACCATAAGAAATAAGTTGTTCTTGCTTTTAGCCTCTAAGTTTTAGGACGATTTGTCACAAAACAATAAATGGTTACTACAGTTACTATTCTCTATCAATATGATGATGCAAATTTATGACATGAAAAGATGACCTTTGGTGTATCTAGCTTACAGTAGGTACTGAAAAATATTAATTGAACAAATTAATGAATACATAAATGGAAGCAGTTGAAAACATAGCATTGAAAGTTTCTAAGATTTCAGAAAGGAATTAACATCCTAATGAGCAGAGAAATAATTTTTTAATGTTAAAACAGTCAGCTTTGTGCTGTGAGAGGAGACGTATAGTATATGTGCAGCAATAGGACGTGACAATAATCTCCCACCATACAGCAGAGATACTTATATCCATAGCAATATTAAAAGAAAAAAATGGAAAAGAAGGGTATTTCATTTGGAGCAGAGTTAGTTAGATGGTTAATTTTAATGTGTCTACTTGGCTAGGCTATAGTTTCCAGTTATTAAATCAAACACGAATCTAGGGGCTGCTGTGAAGGTATTTTGTAGACATGCTTAATATCTATAACCAGTTGACTTTAAGTAATTTGGGTTGGTCTCATTTAATCATTTGAGGCCTTAAGAGTGAAAACTAAGGTTTTCCAAAGAAGATTTTTGGTTTCAAGACTGCAGTATCGACTCATGCCTGAGTTTCCAACCTGCTGGTCTGTGGATTTCAGATTTACCAGCCACCACAGTCATGTGAATCAATTCCTTAAAATAAATACCTGTGTGTGTGTGTGGGGGGGGGGGGGGTGTGTGTGTGTGGTGTGTGGGTGTGTATAAGACTTATTGGTTCTTTTTCTCTGGCGACTCCAGACTGATACAGATTGCTGCTGCCCAGTGAGTATGAAGGTGCTTCCCTCCATTTTCCCAACCTTCCTTGGAGATAGTTTGATGCCAAGTGACCAGATTGGACAATGGGCTGTGAGCTGTAGTGGTCTGTGTCATCTTTTTTTTTTTTTTTTTTTAAATGGATTCTTGCTTTGTCACCCGGGCTGGAGTGTAGCGGCTCGATCTTGGCTCCCTGCAACCTCTGCCTCCCGGGTTCAAGTGATTCTCCTGCCTCAGCCTCCTGAGTAGCTGGGATTTTAGGCATGCACCACCATACCCAGCTAATTTTGTATTTTTAGTAGAGACGGGGTTTCGTCATATTGTCCAGGGTGGTCTTGAACTCCTGGCCTCAAGTGATCCGCATGCCTTGGCCTCTTAAAGTGCTGGGATTACAGGCATGAGCCACCGTGCCCGGCCTTAAAATTCATTTATTTTAACATAATTTATACTGTGTAGATGAATTTCTAATTTTATTTATTTCACCGGAGTTTATCCCATTTTGACTAATATATAATCTTAATGGGAAAAAAATCTAATTATGGGCATATGAATCAAGGGTCTTTTGCAAGTGAATGAAAATCCCTCTCAATTTATTTGTTTAAAAAGAAAGGGAATTGAATGGCTTATATAATTGAAAGGTCCAAAAGTGGATTTTCAGATTTAGGCAGAGCTGAATCAAAAGAATCAAAACATGTCAGCGGGATTTGCATCCAACTTGTAGTCTAACTTACACTTTCATTTATTTATTTATTTCAGACCAACAAAGTCTAAGGGATGATTCTGATTCACCCAACTGGGTTATGTTCCTAACCCTGAACCATTCACTGTGGCTGGGTCATGGACCAAACTCATGGGTCAGGTTTATTCACATGCTTATTCTTAGAGAGGGGTGATTGAAGGACTGCTAAGATCAACACCACCCATATCACAGGGACTGAAAAGGGACAAGGGGAGATTCTTCAAAGGAAAGTTGGGCTGCGGTGACCTCACATAGAAAGGAAGTCAGGCAGGCAAAAGCAATAGACTGGCACTGCAATGGATAGAAGTTTATATGCCTGGTATCTCAGGAGAAAGGAAGCTGAGTTACATGTATAGAAACACCAGTGTATTCATTGAACATTGAACGTGCTTTTTAAAACCGAAGTGTTGTGGTAAATGAGAGGCAAGCCGGCTATGCAACTGACAACTGGGAGAGTAACTGTTGCAATGTGATAATTCATTTTAATCAAAGATGAAAGAGATATTTTGTCACATCAAGACCAGGAATATCAATAATATATCTATCAGTGTACAGAAGATGTCACATCTGATCGAAAGCAATTGAAGTGATATTACATTTCTCAAGAAATAAAAGCCAAGGGCAGGTTATTCCATATTGAAATCACACCCACACTTATTCATTATTTAGATAATAATGACACATTTAGAACTTGTTCAGAGAGTAATTAACAAGTTGACTATTCAGCCACATCCGAATCTATTTCTCATAATGTGAATAAAACTAGTCCGATAGAGAAAAAGGTATTCAAACAGAAATCTCCTTGTGGCTGGATGTGGTGGCTCACGCCTGTAATCCCAGCAATTTGGGAGGCTGAGGCAGGAGGATAGCCTGAGTCCAGGAGTTCAAGACCAGCCTGGGCAACATGGCTAAACATCATCTCTACAAAAAATACTAAAAAAGAGAAAAAAAAGTTAGCCAGCTGTAGTGGTGCACACCTGTGGTGCCAGCTACATGGGAGGCTGAGATGGGAGAATCACTTGAGTCAGGAGGCAGAGATTGCAGGGAGCCGAGATGGCACCACTGCACTCCATGGGTGATAGAGCAAGATACATTGTTTCAAAAAAAAAAAGGCTCCTGGTTTCTCAGTTATGTTATAGTATTAGTATGTAATAAGTTGCTCTATGAGTTATGGAAATTATTGGTTTATACAGATTATAAGATGTGTATCTCTATATATGTATATATCCATTATTGATTCATCTTGTATATATTTTTCCATAATTAATAAAAATAAATACCATATAGGAACACAATTATAAATCTTTTGTATATGTAACAGCACACTGAATATTTGCTAAAAATATTTAAAATTTTATAAGAAATCATTGAAGAGATTTAGGAGCAGTTTGAGCACAATTAGGATTGTTTGGGCTGTGAAGAAGAAAAAATATTCAAAGCCCCTTTTTTTTGTTTTTTTCCTTTACTTTTTTAAAAGCAAAAATATTGACTGCATATGTAAAAAGCATTTATATATTATGTACATAAATTTAAATATAATACATATATTTTAAAGGAAGTCTAATCAAAGACCGGGAGAACCATACAATTTGGTGTATGTTAATTTCCTGCCAAGTTTCAGAATTACGTTTCTGACTTTTAATAGGCATGACAAAACTGGAGTTGGTAGGAATTACATTCTCACAGAAATTTGAAAATCAACAGAATTTCAGTAAATATTGCAATATATAACAAAATATAGATATACAAAGAGATTATAAATACAATTTTACAAGCATCTGCTTCCAAAACAAGCCACAAAGCAAATCTGTAAAAAACCTGCACCAGTAGATTATTTATTGAATCTCTTCAAGAAGCTTCCTGTGATGTTTTGATCTGTTGTGGCAGATTTTTTTCCTGTTTCTTCATCATGCTCACTGCACGACTCACTATTCAAAGTATGTTAGTATAATACCTCCCACATCCTGGGCACATTACATGAAATTTTTTTTTTTTTTGAGACAGAGTCTCACTCTGTTGCCCAGGCTGGAGTGCAGTGGTGCAGTCTCGGCTCACTGCAACCTCCACCTCCCAGGTTCAAGCGACTCTCCTGCCTCAGCCTCCTGAGTAGCTGGGACTACAGGCGCACGCCACCACGGCCAGCTAATTTTTGTATTTTTGTTTTTTAGTAGAGACAGGGTTTCACCATATTGGCCAGGCTGGTCTTGAACTCCTGACCTCGTGATCCGCCTGCCATGGCCTCCCAAAGGGCTGGGATTACAGGCATGAGCCACTGTGCCCAGCCATTACATGCGTTTTCTAAGCTCAGAGAGTTTAGAAATTTTCCCACAGAAGTGAGAATTTAGATTTGCCTGATTCCACATTTCTTCTACAGTTTCTCAATCTGCTCCAGTGATTTGCCCTTCACACATCCAGGTGTTATGGTGTTTCACCCTGTTCCTGAAGATGCTCATATGCATGGGGGCCCCAGAAAGCACCTTTAGATACCTGATCCCTAGTTCCCTACGTAGTTTCAAGCACTACAACATAAATCATGCTTCTGAATACTGAGTGACCTTGGGTCTTTTAGTCTTACAGGAATCAGAAGATCCATGTTAGTATTCCAGCTCTCTCATACTAGCTATGTGATCTTGGACAGGTGGTTTAAACTATCAGTGCCTCGATCCTCATTTTTTATCCCTCTTATTTGCCCAAGAGATCCTCTGACCCCTGCTTCCAGCTTCATGGAACTTCTAGTGATACCACTGAATTTGCACGTATTTTAAATTAATCTTGTATTATTTTAGTTTTAATTTTTGGTATAATTTTGGTATTATTAGGTATAATTCTGCTATGCAATATTTGGGGGACCGTATAGAATTTTTTTTCAGCTTAAATGTGGATTTTAGCTCTCTACTTTTATCCTAATCATTTTTCTAAGGGGAAGAGGGGATTAGATGACTACTGATCCTAGGGCTGTGCAAACATTCAAGCTCATGGAAAATGGAAGAAGATCCTAGTCCTTGGTCTATTGTCCACTGTGTTGTTTGCCATTACTATTGTTTCTCTTATCAAGTGACGCTGCTGTGAAGAGCTGTTTCTCTACCGTTATTCAGGGACTGCTGCTCCAGAATGACTCAGATGCTTTTACAATATTTCTCTGTACTGACCACAGGCTCTGTCACACAGTGACCTGTATTTTCTAGGTCTCAGGACTTAGAGGCCAGATTCCAAAGAGGTCCAAAAGATTCCATCTTCCCTAGTCTCTGGCACCGGGAGAAAAGTCTGTGAATGTGCACCAGATAAGAATACTAGAAAGTCCTCCTGTCTCTCCCAGAAGCTACCCTTTCTTCTCCAAAATGACCCATTTTCCAAAATGACTGCAAGCACAGCCTCTAGCCCCTCCTCCCTCTGGGACTACCAGAATGAAAGTTCTGGTAATGAACTAATTAATGAAAGTTACTTTGATTTCCAAGCAAAAGCCCAAAAGAGGATTTTCCCCTTGCTACCAGACAACCTCTGTTCCTGCCTCTGAAACCCAAAGCTGTTAACAAGCCCTTAAAATAAAGGAAATGAATACAATGCTGGACGTTCCTATTGCTAAGGGTCTGGGTAACTGCAACGCAATTACATTTGCATTTCTTCTGAGAGTCTCACATAGAAGTGAGAATAAGACAGAAATTATTATCACAATAAATTGTCCTGCAATATTGCTCTTCATGTTTCCATTTAAATGGGTGTCAGCTTAAAAATCTGGAGAAGAGATAGAAAATGCTTGACTTTTGTAGCCACTGCTTTCTTCCTCATTCATGGCAGGTATGGCTAATTGATCATTCCTATCAAATGGCCCATACCTGTTCATGCTAAACATAGTGGGTGAGACAGCCAGTAATAATGAATTAGAATCAGAAATTGAGATTAAACCATACTTACTATCTGTTCCCTAACACATTGTATAATGTGGAACATTCTGAAATGTAGTACCATTGCCATGAGGTGAGAAGAAGTGAAAAGATGAGGGGTAGGGAAGAAGGAGGAAAGAGGAAGATTGATTGATTGAAATTCTATGTTTCAGAGAGAACATGGGAAATAGGTCCTCCCTGTGAGCATACCTGGAATCTAACTCTTTTTTTCAGCCTTTGTACTGAAGACCTTTCTATTGTCATCTATCTGGAATAATCAGGCTTTGAGAGACATATGTATCCTAAAGAAACGGATGTATTAATCTTGCAAATTACTTGGTTAAAAATGAAATCTCTAGATAGAAAGTTTCTGGAAAATACATATTTAGTGATCTAAATATTCTTCTACCAGTGACAAAAAATTCCCATGAAACCAAATTAATGTCAGAAAATTAATAAAGCCATTAAAAGATTAAAAAAGAGTTAGATGTTCCTAAAGCATAATGCCTTCAAGATAAGATAGTATCATGGGCCCATCTATAAAACAGGTATATATGCAATAAGCAGACCAGCAAACTAACATTGTGGATGGCCTTGTGTATTAATTAGAGTTTTCCAGAGAAACAGAGCCAATAAGAGGTATTTACATATTTGTTTATTATGAGGGCTTGGCTTACATGATATTACAAAGACAGACACCTTCCAAGATCTGCAGGATGAGTCAGCAAGCTGATAACCCAGAGAGCCTATCATGTCATTCCAGTCTGCAGGCCAGCAGGCTCAAGACACAGGAAGACGTGATGTTCCAGTTTGTGTGAAAAGGCAGGAAAAAACTGATTCCTAGTTCAAAAGCTGACAGGAAGGAGGAATTCCCTCCTCCTTGAGGAAGGGTCTGCCTTTTTGTTCTATTCAGGCCTTCGACTGATGGAATGAGCCCACTCACATGAGGGAGGGGAATCTGCTTTATTTAGTCAAATGATTTAAATGTTAATATTATCCAAAAAAATTCCCTCATGGACATACCACAATGTCTGACCAAATATCTGGGCACCCTGTGGCCCAGTCCATCTGACACATGAAATTAACTGTCAAACCTGGGAACTCTTACTTTTGAAAGGATGAACTGGAGGCAAATGGATTTTACCCTTTGGACTTAGTTTTTTAAAAGAAGTCATGAGGATGACCATTTGTTTTTTATTAGCTTTATTTATTATTGTGTTTTCCTGAAAGGATTTTAGTGTATTATCCAGATTTACCAGCATAATAATTACAAATGTTATTTCAGGTGTTACTTTCCCAGACCACGAATACTCATTTAGAAAAGGCATAATTGATTTCATTTAAGAGACGACATTATCTAAACTTTTCTTATAATTCCAACAGGAAAACCTATTCAAAGCCTAAAATCACCATTGCATTAATCATATGTATCAGAAATTTATTTACTGTAAGATCTCATGTACATCTAATTTATGCTATTTAATGCACATGTGTATCACAGAAGTCCATGCAGATATTTATATCATGCAATCAATTTTAAAATAAATTTTAAAATAAAATTTGTTTGTAGAATTTCCATATACCTGTATTATTCTTTACCCCAATTTGTTTGAATAGCATTTGAAAACTAACGTTAGATGCTTGGTAAGCATTCCTGAGATTTTTTGATTTTTTTTTTTTTTGCGTTATTTTCTTTTTTTTTTTTTTTTTTTTTTTTTTTTTTGAGACGGAGTCTCGCTCTGTTGCCCAGGCCGGACTGCGGACTGCAGTGGCGCAATCTCGGCTCACTGCAAGCTCTGCTTCCCGGGTTCACGCCATTCTCCTGCCTCAGCCTCCCGAGTAGCTGGGACTACAGGCGCCCACCACCGCGCCCGGCTAATTTTTTGTATTTTTAGTAGAGACGGGGTTTCACCTTGTTAGCCAGGATGGTCTCGATCTCCTGACCTCATGATCCACCTGCCTCTGCCTCCCAAAGTGCTGGGATTACAGGTGTGAGCCACCGCGCCCGGCCTTTTGCATTATTTTCTGATGTGGAAGATAAACTGAGAGAAAACAGAACTAAATTTGATTGGCCATGATGCAAATTTTACCTACTTATATTTCATAGCTACCAAACTTACCTTAAAAAATATTAATGATCTTAGCCACAATCTAAATTATATTTTTATCAGAAAAATGTGTAAACTCTGAAATCAAAACTAATTATACCAAGAGAGTTAAATCTAGTTTAGTAGGCATATGAATTTGTAAGATAACAAAATGACAAGATAATCCTCACTTTTTCCAATTCATTTCTGGAAACTGCATCGTAAACACATTGCATTTTCCCACAGGAATCTATATTGGTGATTGCATTCTTGTTCAGTTACTCACCATCAAATAAGCTATGATTGTCACAGCAACATATTACAAAAACAAAGATAAAATTATAAATCTTCAGTATAAACTTAACAATAAAATTATTTTATTAGTGCTATAGAATTAGAAAAATGTTTTCTCTGTATTTGTTGAGAGCCTAGTGTTTTCTAATTTCCATGTATTTATTCAAACATTTATCCAATAGCTGTTATATTTTTTGAACTATAGGCAATATAATGCAAAGGCATGTTTTCTGTCATTCAGAAATGGAAAGAACTTAAAAACTGTAGTGAAAATGGCATACGTTAGACATGGCTAAAAATCAAGATGCTACCTACAATAATTTAGACAAGCTTTGGGGACTGATAGGAATGAGCCAGACAGCTTAAAAACTGTCCAGGGAAGTTTTACTGATGATTTGTGTTTGTTCAGCTTCTTTGTAGCAAGCAGAAATATTTTAAATTATGCTGTTAACCTTACTGCATGCTCCAATTTATTTTTGTCCTTCGAAAATTTAGACATTGCAGCATTTAAATAGTTAAAGGCATCATTAAATACTTCAGTCATGATAGGTTGAAGAGAATTTCCTTCTTACTCATCTTTTCTTTGTTCTATCTTTAGGCTTCTTCCTCACTAAAACCACTTTAAACTTAATGGACTGCTTTGAAAGGGAAAAATTGAAGGAAGATTTGTTCAAAGCAACAGGCAGTCTCCTTAAGTCAAATACAAACTATTGGAAAACACAGGTCTTTCTTTTGCATTAGCTGGGAGGTCTACCTCCTTCTTATCCCTCCCTTTTAAGCCTACAGAAGGCTCGTTAGACCAACTGCCTATGGGAAATATAGACTAAGCAGGTGTAAGTCAGGAGACATGAAGTTTAGGTGTCAATTAGGCAGACTTGAATGAGCAAAGATACAAAATGTACTGGGCAAAAAAGAAAATTGTGCCTTTTACTGGTTTCTGATGACAAAACTGTAGTTCAGATTTACCATTATAGACTTCAACTATTGTGTGTTTTTATCAAGAGAAATTTTTCTTTTTCTTTCTTTTTTTTTTTTTTTTTGAGACAAAGTCTTGCTCTGTCATCCAGGCTGGAGTGCAGTGGCATGATCTTGGCTCACTGCAACCTCCGCCTCCTGGGTTCAAGCAATTCTCTGTCTCTGCCTCCCAGGTAGCTAGGATTACAGGCTCCCACCACCACGCCTGGCTAATTTTTGTATTTTTAGTAGAGATGGGGTTTCACCATCTTGGCCAAACTGGTCTTGAACTCCTGACTTCGTGATCCACCTGCCTCAGCCTCCCAAAGTGCTGGGATTACAGGCGTAAGCCACTGTGCCAGACCTCTTTTTCTATTTTTAACAGGCTTTTCTACTATAATGTACTGTACTTCATAATTACTGAGTTTGTACTACTGTCAGCTCATGTGTTGATTTTAGATAAACATAGACACACAGCAATTATATTTTTTAAGATAAATGACTAATAGTTCCATTTATTTGAATATTTGAGAAATATCTAGTTTCTCTGATACAATCTTAGGTTTGCACATGAATAAACCGCATGCCATATCTTATAATATATAGATAATATTAAGGTGTCCTCATTAAGATGAATTTTTCTCTGTCTGGTATTATTAAATAATATAACAGTGATTTCAATCCTGGCCTTGCCACTTGCCAGATGTGTGCCCTTAGGCCAATTACTTAACCTCGATTGTCTCAGTTTCTTCAATTGGAAATGAGGATATAATAATAGTTTCTCATAAATTTGTTACAAAAATCAAATCAGTTAACTTTATAAAACATTTTAATAGTGCCAGACACATAGTAAGTGTGATATGTGTGTTTGTTAAAAAATAAAATACTTTTTCTTGTTCTTTTTTCTAAATTTTTAATTTTTTTCACACTTCTGCTGGCAAGAATCTTGTTCTAAATGCATATGCAAATACCCATCTCCAGACTTCTAGCCAATGAATAGACTAATTTACCTTCTTTTCCTTGCCTTTATTTCTCTTCTTATACCCCCTACTCTCATATTAGGCTTCAGAAGGAGGACAAAATAAGAAATTACCTGGAAAAATTGGCCTGTGTGTGCCACCTTTTCAAACCAGAAGTTATAGATTATATCAGTTAGCATAGATTTGGAATCAAGTAACAAAATTTATTTCACTCCCATTGGTTTAAATTGGCTGACAAAGTATAATACAATGGCAGGATGGATTTCAGGGCTGGCTTAACTCAGTGAGCACAGCTCCTTTTCTTTGCACTTTCTTTGGCATTGTTGCTTTAAGTGTGATGTCCTTTTCCTTAGACTGCGTTGCCTCATGCTGGCAAAATGCCATTAGAAGTTCTAGGTTCTATATAATGGAATATGTAGAAGATGAGAGGGAGTCCATTTTGCTTTGAAAAATGAAAAAGTTTCTTACCAGAAACACCCAGAAAACCCTCCTTTATGACTCACTGGCTCAGATTAAGTTACAAGCTAATTCTTAAATTAAAAATTGAGGCTAGGAGAGTATTAAGAGCTAATTGGATTAGCTGAACCAATCTCTCTAGTATGATGGATGGGATTACCCTCAGATAAATGAGGCCCACTCTGGTGCTACAGTCTCTCAACTTACTTTAAAACACATTGGTAATGGTGGAAGGCATAGATGCCTGAACCATAGTAGAACTGTGTCAGAAGAGAAGAAGGGGGAATGGATACGGTGTAGGCAACCACTGATGACTACATAGGCTATGTTATCTATAGGAGGAGATTTAGAAATTCATCAGTGTCAGTAATAGATATCTCTGAATGAGGAACAAATTGCGGCTAAGTGGAACTTTAAATTCCATAAAGTGGTCTTTTAAATTATGTACATCATTTTTGGGGTTTGTTTGGTTATTAAGACCGGCATAATCAAATTAACATAATCTATCTTGTCTGTTCATGGTGCTAACACTGGCACCAGGGCTACACAATTCGAACTGTAGTTTCTGGGCTTATTTTTTTTTTTTAATTAATCATAGTATCTTTTTCTATTTTGAAGGAGTGTTAAACTTTCAGATTTGCAAGAATTGTACAAAGGCCTTTTTTTTTTTTTTCTTGGATCAATTTGAAAGTAAATTGCCGACATGATGCCCCATTACAACCTGATTCTTAATGTATCAAAAGCAGGACAATGCTCCTACCAAAACACCATGTAATCATTAAAATCAGGAAATTTTATTTTTTTCCAGATAGGGTTTCACTGTGTCACCTAGGCTGAAGTGTAGTGGCGCCATCATAGCTCACTGCAGTTTCCAACTCCTGGGCTCAAATGATCTTTCTGCCTTGGCCTCCCAGAATGCTGGAATCACAGGCGTGAGACACCACACCTGGCCAAAATCAGGAATCTAATTCTCTACATTAGTTCCATTTAGTTGCAGACTCCATTCATGTTTTGCCAATTATCCCAATGTTTTATAGCAAGAAGGTCCAGTTGAGGATCACATGTTGAGTTTGTTATTTCTTTTTATCTCCCTTAATCTTGAATCTCAGTCTTCTTTGACTTTCATGACCTTTACAGGCAAATTATTAGGTAGAATACCCTTCACTTGAGGTTTGTGTGATTTCCTCATTATTATATTCAGATTATATATATGTGGCAGGAATATCACAGAAGCATAGAAGTAATGGTGCGTTCCTCTCATTGCATCCTATCAGGTGGTCTACAACTTTAATTTGTTCCATTATTGGTGATGTTCACTTTGAACCCTTAATTGAAGTGCTGTCTGTTAAGCTTTTCCATTGTAAAATTACCCAATTTTCTTTACAATTAATAAGTATGTGGGGAGAGTTTCTGTACAGAGGTAAATTGGACTTCAGGGCTGCTCAATGCATTTTTAAAAATTTTTGCAATTTCCTTAGTTCTGTTAATATGTAAATATGTGAAGTATTCATTCTTCATTAAACTTTCATCTACTAGTTTTGGCATTCATTGATATATTTTGGCTGAATCAGTTACGATGATGATGATAGTTACTATATGTTTGGTTTTTCTAATTTAGGCATTCATTCTATATTTATTAGTTGCCATTCTAGTGTGAGAGTCCTCTTCTCCCTGTTTATTTATATTGATATGGGCTCATGAATTCCTAGTTTATAAAATGGGCTATAATTTTTTCTTATTATTTATTTTGATACCCACATTGTTCTTGATTTGGTCATTAGGAATTCCTTCAGACTGGCTTCTATGTCAGTCTGACCTGTCTTTTTCATTCACTGAGCACTTTGTTACTTTGTGGCACAAAAAGATGTCCCAGACTAATCTTGTACTTCCCCAATTCCATACCAGAATCAGACAGTTCTCCAACAGGTTCTGCTTCTTCTTGGTGGAAAACAGTATTTAGATTTGGGCACTTGATATACTTATTGTTATTAGGGTGTCAGTGTTGTCCAGTAGTCTCAGTAGTCAGAAGCAGGGAAAATACTAAAGTTCAAACGGATACCACCAATCCCAATCCAACACCAAAGGCTGTCAGAATAGATCAGAGTAGATTACAGTGAAGAGAAGTTGGAAGAAGACCTGGAGTTTCTTCTTCAATCTTGCTGCTTTGATAGAGGACAGAATTCCATTTTACAATTCAGCATACCCAGAATCTATTTTTAACTTTGCTAGAGAGGTAATTCTCTTGATAATGTAAAGGATCTTCAGTAACAAAAAATGCTTTCATGAAATGTGCAACTACATTAGTTTCCTATGGCTGCTATAAAAATTACCAGAAATCTGGTGGTTTAAAATAAGACAAATCTTTCAGTTCTGGAGGTGAGAAATCTGAAATCAGTTTCAGTGGGCTGAAGTCAAGGGCTGATTCCTTCTGGTGGCTGTAGGGGGGAATCTGTTTTTCAGCTTATAGCATCCACCTCTATTTCTTGGTTTGTGGCCCCTTTCTCCATCTTCAAAGCTCACCGCTCTAATCTCTGCTTCCCTTACCCACATTCCGTAACTGGTCTTCTCTCTTTCTGACTCTAACTCCTCCTGCTTTCCTCTGTAAGAGGGAACACCCTTGTGTTTACATTGGGCCTAACCAGGTGATCCAAAACAATCGCCTCAAAATCCTTAATTTAATCACATTGCAAAGTCCCTTTACTGTGTAAGGTAATATATTTATAAATTCTGGAGATGAGGACATAAACATTTTGAAGCCATCATTCAGCTACCACACCAAGACTCAGCTAATCTGTTTCAATTTTTTATTTTTGTAGAATCAATTTTACTTTTGAGTTGCATTAATCAGAACCATCATTTGCAAGTGTTAGAACAAAAACAATTCAATTTGGCTTTGGCGAAAAAAAGGGTCTTTATTGGTTCCCATAAATTAAAATTGTAGAGCTCTAATCGATAGGCTCTATTGAGTTCAAGGGGTCAAAGTTGTTGATAGGAAACTTTCTCTTCATCTTTTAGCTCTGTTTTCTTTTCGGTTTATTCTGGGCTCAGCTCTCCTCTCCTATTGACAAGATGGCCATGAGTAGCTCCAGCATTCTTCTATCTTGGAACCCCAGGACATAGAAAGATTCTTTTTCTCCCTATAATGTCAATAAAATCTAGTTAATGTAGCTGGGCATGGTGGATCATGCCTATAATCCCAGTGACTTTGGCAGCTGAGGCAAGAGAATGGTTTGAGGCTAGGAGCTTAAGACAAACCTGGGAAACATAGGGAGATCTCATCTCTAAAAAAATATTAAAAAATTATCAGGGCATGGTGGCACATGGCACATGCCTGTAGTCTCAGATACTTGGGAGGCTGAGGCAGGAGGATCCCTTGAACCCAGGAGGTGGAAGCTACAGTGAGCTATGATTGCGCTACTGCATTCCAGCAGCGAGACCCTGTCTGTAAAAAAAAAAAAAAAAAAACTATGTAATGACTCTCATTGATCCAAATTTAATGGGATTCTGTAAATCAAAATGTTTGCTGCTTCTATTGAAATTGCAACCCTTGATATATTATTCATTAATTTATTACATAAAGGTTTTCCTCAACTTCCCCTCTTTTCCTCTATCTGCCTCTTTTCTTTTTTTAAACACTTCTCATTTAAAAAAGAATTAGAATATAATATCTATATAATTCTTAATTTAAATATCTTATTTAACATTAAAAAATTTGGAGATAAAATAATTTAGCAAGAAAATATGATCTGAAGGTTTACTGTGGTTGAGATTTTTTTATAATAATTTTTATAATAATGTATTTAAGCAAATAGTTTGAGAATTTCATCCCTGATTATGTGCTAGAGAATCCTGATGTGAGACTAAAATGCATGGTTATTAAAGACATGTAGACATAGAAAATATGAAAAATACATTTATGTTAAATATATAAATCTTATAAAAGCTTCACATACTGTTAGCAGTCTCTGTGGTCTTGATTTTCTTGGTATTTATGTTACTGCTTTCTTTTGTTTCTATAACTGAAATATTTATGAAATATAAATAGATTTGGGCCACCCGCTGATTTTGGATAGATAAGGTATGGTATCTTTACGGTTAAGCCTTTTTCAGAATTTGTTAATATCAAGCATCCTATTTATTTTCAGAATGAGCACATGTTCAAGCAAAACCAAGCTTACTTGAATACTAAAACATTTAAAATATTCAAATTTTTATAAAGCAAGCTTTATTAAACTCTTCTAATACTTTTATTTTTTAAATTTCAAAACTTTTAGTTTGAAGCAGACTGTTAAGTATTTTAATGCCTTTTTAATTAGAACTTAAACTCCTTTGCAGGAGAGAAAAAGAGAAATAGACGCATAGAAGGAGCTCAGTCAATACCTTTAAACTGATTGGTATTCACATTATAAAATTCAAGTCTGTTAACAATGCCTTTTTAATTGAAGAACCGTAATAAGAACTTGCCTTTTTAATATTGTGAATATCCAATTGCTATTTGACAGACTATGCATGTCAAATACTTGGATGCATTGTATAGATGCTATTATATTTTACATAATAAAAATGCTTTTTTTGGTTTAGTGTACAAGTATTATATTGAAGGAGTAGGACACAGATAGATAATACAATCATGAAACAACTTAATTTTCTCTCATTGCTCTTTAAAATTTTTTCTGCTGGAACAATTCTCCTCTTGCCCCTTAATTTTATCCTCTTGGATAAAGTTAAGACCAGTCTTGACTTTTCAAGTTACTTCTAGGTCTCCTAGACAATCTCGGGTCACTAGCTAAAATATCATTTTCATAAAATAGAATTTAAAGTTTATTGAAGTTGAAGACTTCCCCCTTTGTTAGGATGGGCCACCAGCTATGGAAAAGGGCTTGTTAGCTTCTTCCTTAATTCCCCAGAGAGTTCTTCTGCTTCTTCCCCACTTTAGGGGCCTCTCACTCCTCTAGAGTTGAAAGAGGTGTGACAGGGCAGATATGTTTATTGACAGTACTCATTTGGCACTGATTTGTGTTAGTTTCCTCTGGGCATGATAGATGTGTAAGGTCAAGTTTTACTGGCGAACATGCTGATATGGTTTGGCTCTGTGTCCCCACCCAAATCTGGAATTGTAATCCCCAGGTGTTGAAGGAGGAACAGGTGGGAGGTGATGGGATCACAAGGGCGGTTTCCTCCATGCTGTTCTCATGGTAGTAAGTGAGTGGACACAGATCTGATGATTTGAAAGTGTTTGGCAGTTCCCCGCTTCGCTCTCTCTCTCGCTGCGTTGTGAAGAAGGTGCCTGATTCTCCCACTTCTACCATGATTGTAAGCTTCCTGAGACCTCTGCAGCCATGCAGAACTGTGAGTCAATTAAGCCGTTTTTGTTCATAAACCACCCAGTCTCAGGTATTCTTTATAGCAGTGTGAAAATGGACTAGTACACATGCCATTGTTGGAGATCTTGCACCTGTATTTTCTTGATGTCAGTGAATACATTTTCTGGATGTTTGTAGCTCCTCCTCCACCTCTTAGGAATCTAGAAAGTTTACTCCCTGCTGGGTTATCTCATGTATTCAGGCAATCTTCTTGGTCAGGACAACACCCAGGCCAATTTTCTCAAGCCATGACCACATCAAGTCCAGTGGAACAATCTCTCTTGACTCTGCCTTCAAAGAGATTGGCCAGGCAGATTTATCATGTGTGAGTTTTATGTTAGGCAGCTGTGATCCCCAAACTCCAGAGGACTTATGTCAAGCTTTCTGACTAGGCATCAGCATCTTTTTCCATAGGCTTCTGGGTGGTTCTACTATGTGCTTATTGGTCCATAACAACCTTCCTCTTCCTAATCTCTTCTAATTGTCACCTTTCCTTTTCTTCCTGCTTTAATCTCTCAGCTAAGGGTCTGTGTGGCCTCACAGTGAGCCTGGGGTGGGGGATCAAAACAGTTTCAGGCACCTCATTCACAAGTCCTGCTTTGGTAGTCTCAAATCTTTCCTTGGAATTTGAGACTGATTGCTACCTCTTGTCCAAGGGCTTAAACCAAATCTAAGATACAGAGTTTTATTTTAGATCCTGTCACAAACAAAGAGTCACTAATTAGTTAAGGTAATGATCATTTCCTATTCAAGGGCCATTTATTTGATAGCTAAAGTATGAAGTGGGAAAATCTAAGTTATGATAGTTTTCTTTTTCTGGTAATTTTACCACTGACTATTACATTTTTGTCACACCAGTTTCTTCTTCATAATATTCCTACTTGTCTCATAATGAGGTTGTGATTACAATAGTATAAAGTGCCTGGAACTTGTATGTGGGGAATTTACTAATTATCTAATGTATATCACATTATTTTTCTGCCAGGCAGCTATTATTCAAGTGCCAATGGAGAAATTGAGACAAAATCAATTTTTGAATAAAAGTGTATTAAAAAATCAAATTTTGAATAAAAGTATATTTAACTTTGAATACCACTTACCTTCCAAAGTAACTATAAAAGTTCTATAGGAGAGGGAAAGAACAGTTTCACCCTCCGTGAGTAAGTATTTTCTCTATCAGTGACTCTGTTCAAGTTTTAAGGCAGGTAGGTGCAAAACAAATCATTGATCAGGTTATTCTACTCAACAATTAGCCACTATGGGTATTGTAGTTTTATTTATCAACAGTTTGTAAGCAACAACAGCTGGTTTATAAACATTATGAAAGTCATATAAAATGCACACTTGTTACCAATATTTTGTTAATAGGCTACTTAGAAGTTGGAAAGAAATATTGTCATTTTAACAGTTATGTAAATAGAAAGGCAAGTTATAAATATTATAGGCATACAAGTGTTCATATATACTTGACTCCAAGATCAAGATTAAAAAATATATATAATAGGTAGTTTAGTGTGCTATGTGATTTGTACACTATTTCTAGAATTTGACATTTTGTATCAAACAATTACATATGCATACCTTTTAAGCCAGCCATTGTACCTGTAGAAATTTATTAAAAAATAGTCAGATAAGTGCAATGTGTGTGTTTGTATTATGGCATAATTTTTGAGTATAAAAAAATCAGAAAAACCTAGATGACTATTGGTAGAAATTAGTTAATCAGGATAAGTCTATATAATGCAACACCATAAAACCACTAATAATTGTTATATATCTCTACTTATTCACAATTAACTAATTTCCCAATATATTGTTAAATGGGAGATGTAATCTACAAATGGCTAGGGATAATATTATTCTATTACTGTAAAAAAGATTATAAATATTTTAATATATGTCTTGAAAATTCTGGAAGGATATACATGAAAATTTTCAGATTGGTTTCTTCCAAGTGGTGATATTCCTTTAATGAATAAATACCAGTCCAGTTCAGTAAAAGAACCATTTGGTCTAGTTAATAAACGGAAGTGTAAGGAAGTGAGACAATGTTTCACATTTGACTCCTGCTTTTTTCTGAAGTGAAAACCTATATGGCCACCTGACATTCTGCAGGCCCACTTTTATCCTGTAGATTGTTGCTCATCTGTTTAATCAACAGTCTTCTATTTGTCTTCAGGAAACAAATGATAATCAAATCAGCGGAACCTCCACTTTGCTTCATTCTCCCTCCTAATTGAAACCTTAGCCTATGTTTACCGGTAGTGGAACACACGAATGAAACAATGATATTTTTCAAGTTTGTTCTGTAACATTTTTACACCTTTTTCTTGTACAGTATTTTTACCAACAGCTATTACTAAAGTTACAATAATATTTTGATACATAATGAGATGGAATTAAATATGTTTAAGGAAGTGCTGTTGATCTAAGTTACTAGAGAGTTTGGAATTGGCAGCAAGAATGGACCAAATATAGAATGATGTTCAGAACTGAAAAGGAGGTGAAGGGGGGTATATATATGAAATTGGGGGCTAGGAGAATTGAGATTTGGAAAGACAAGCATAGCATGGAAATAGAGTAAAAAGTTGAAAAGAATGTGAGCCTTGAGACAAATAGGCTTTGTTTTGGCATTCTTTTCTGCCACTTACCTGTGTAAACTTGAGCAATTAACTGCCCTTGGTCTTAGTCTCTGCAGCCATAAAATGGAGAGATTTATATCAGTGTTGTAAAAATTAAATGACATAAATACAAACCTAAAGTTCTTGTAACAAAGTGGACAGTCGAACACTAGGGTGGTGGCCAGTCTCTGAGATGACACTCAATGACCCCACCTCCTGGTGTTTACACCCCTGTGTGTAGTTCCTTCCCACGTAGTATCTGAGCTGGTCTGTGACAATAAAATACAGCAGAAGTGTCTCTTCTGAGGTTAGGTGATAGAAAGATTGCAATTTCCATTTGGGGTTCTTTCTTTCTTACTCATATCACTTGCTGTGGGGAAAGCTATGTTATATGAGGAACATGGGTGGCTCATGTGGTGAGGAGCTAAAGCTTCCTGCTAATAACTCTGTGCTTGAGCTTGGAGGCAGATCCTTCAGACTTAGTGAAGCCTCAGATAACTGCAGCCCCAGCTGACACTTTGATTGCAGCCTCGTGAGACATCCTAAGCCAGAACCACTGAGCTAAGCTGCTCCTGAATTCTTGACCCACCCAAACTGTGAGATAATAAATACTTCTCCTTTAAGTGCCTAAGCTTGGATTAATCTGTTATGCAGCAATCAATAACTAATACATGTAACTATCATTTTGAAGATTTGGGAGGTGATGGTTTAAATCTGTAGTAAGTGGGCGCTAATAGTAGGCAGTAAGAATTTTAAGTGGATCTAGCGGTGGGAAGGAAAGTTAAGCACTAGTATCCTAGGCCAGTTTATTGATTGATTGGTTGATTGATTGAGACAGAGTCTAGCTCTGTCGCTGAGGCTGGAGTGCAGTGGCCCGATCTCAGCTCACTGTAACCTCTGCCTCCAGGGTTCATGAGATTCTCGTGCCTCAGCCACCCAAGTAGCTGGGATTACAGGCATGAGCCACCACACATGGCTAATTTTTGCATATTTTTTTGTAGAGATGGGATTTCACCAAGTTGGCCAGGCTGGTCTGGAGCTGCTGGCTCAAGTGATCCACCGTTCTGGCCTTCCAAAGTGCTGGGATTACAGGTGCGAGCCACTGTGCCCAGCCAAAAGGTCAATTTATACTTTATTTATTGGAGGACTCTGAGCCAGGGCTTCTCAACTGGTAAGCTAGGAATTTGGCATAGATGTTTTTAGATATTGATTCCTTTACACTCTTTCGGAGGTTTGGTGAGGTCTGGGAGGCTGAATTCTTGGAGCTGGTCACCTCTGGTCTTGCGAAGGCTCCCCTTTTTATGCCCATGTGCCATACAATATGATTTTCTATGTGTGCCATCGTGTGAGAACATTGGACAGTACTGGCATTTACAAGGCCAGCATCTTCATTGGACAGTACTGGCATTTACAAGGCCAGCATCTTTGCTTTGAGTACAGAAGTGTGAGACAAATAACTTCATATAAACTGTGAACAGCGAAGGTTAGACTAAGTCAGAATTTAAAAATCTAGTGTTCTATGGTCCCTTAAGGTCTATAAAGGGGGATTCAAATATTCAACCTTTGTGCCTCAGTTTCCTCAATTGTACTAGCAACCATACCCATTTCACAGGATTGCTGCGATTGTTACATGAGCTATCCAATATCAAGTGCTTAGAACTGTGCCTGTCTGGCATATGTTTAGTGCTCAATAATGTCAGTTACAATTATCATTGCTTCTGGACCCTGGCTCCAAACTTCTTCCTACCAGCTTGAATTCTTGGAATCAGGCTTGGATTAGGTCTTCCTGTATTCATAACAAGACTAGGTTATTGTAGCCCAGGGCTTCAAATCTGCTGTTCCTTTCTCCTGATTGAGGCAATATCCCTCTGGAACATGAGAATTTTTTGGGAGTTATTTATTCATTTCACCCTGACTTGGCAAGAACAGGCAGAGGCTGCTGTTCACCTCCATAAGTCTCAGATATTTTACTTGTAAAATAAAAGGGTTAGATTATGTGACTTATAAGGCCTCTTTCAGTCATAACAATCTATGAGTTTATAAATAATAGAATTAACGCACAGGCGAGTAGTAGTGGTGAAGTGGAGTGAAAGGTGATCAGTGCAATTGCAGTTTCAAGCTTAAAATAATTGTACAGGACATTTAGATAAAACCTGGCTTCCAAGGCTATCTAGGTATACATTACATATGAAAAAACTCTAGTTTCTGAAAAGTGAGAAATATCTGTAGTTATTCTCATAACATTTTATTTGATTTTATACTAAATTCTATGTTCTATACTGTAATGATGTGTCTATACTCTACACATAAACCAGTATCTATCTATCTATCTACCATCTAGCTATCCATCTATATGCAGCTATCACTTTAAAGAAAAATTAAGGCATTATTCATGAACAAGTTTAATTTGCTTTAAAACAATAATATTAATGATATTTTCATCCAATAATATTAACTTTCATGTATTATTTTCCAAAAGGTAAAGCAACTGTTGTGGAAATTAAAGACTCAGATTTTTACAATGAGACTGAACCAATGAATAAGGTTTTTGGATGGCAATTAAAGAATTCTCAGTAAAAAGGAATATTTAGATTAAATAGGATAATTTCATCATCACAGTTAAATAAAAAAAAAAAAAAAAAAAAAAAATCACTTCACAAAACAGCCAGCAGAGGTCCTCAGTCCCATAGTTTATCAATTCTATCACCGTCCTGAAAAATCTCTCCCTGTTGAATAAGGAGCTGGCTCCAAAGGCTCATTTGCTTACTTCAGATAACTAATCACAATGCATCGCCTACAGGTTTAAACTAGAGATGGAAAAGAACATATTTAAATCAAAAATACATTTATTCTCATAGATTTTTTTAAAAAAATACAATTAATATGTGCAACAATGTATAATGTGTTGAAAGAAATACAGATACAAAAGAATGAGGGAGTAAAAGGGCAAGTTACATGTTTTAAATCAGTAGTTTTCAGAAAAATTCAACAGATAAAGGTGAAGAATGTTGAGGAGAAGACAAAGCCATTATATATGGGTCTCATTTCTGTTCCTTTCTCAGTTTGAACTATTGTTTTACTTCTAGGAGAAAAATAAAATGAAAGGATTCATATAGGACATTCTTTAGGCAAAAATCCTAAATACTGTGTTTTTTCATTAAAATTTTAAAAAGGATTTAATAGAATCAGAAATAGAAATAACTAATGAGGTTGTTGCTATCTGAGATACTTAGAAAATATTTCTGAGTTGCCAATCTTTCTCCTCCTGTTTCTTTTTGTCTTAACACTGAGACAGCATTGAAACTTCTCTTAAAAGGAAATACTCATTGGATGACCGCCAGAGAAACTTGAGCGTCTCTCTTGATAGAGCTTACTAGTTTACTGGTGTTGTGTTAGGGTTAATTGGCAATATGTGCAAGATATAAAAAACCCAATATTTCGTCAAACAAAGAAGTAAACATTTAAGACAATGGCCAAAGCTCAATCTCTTTGGGTCTTAGCTTCCCAATCTAAGTAATACTTTGAGGTTATTGTGTTTGTGGAGGAATGTGTTAGGCAGGGCAGGCCAAGGGATATAATTTAATGACCTGACATAGATGTATATACTAGGAAGATTAACTAGACATCATCTCATGGCCAAAAGTAAATATAATGGAAATTAGATAACAAGGAAGGAAAGATTCTGAGTAAAGATGAGATAAATAATCTCAAAGTAAAAGAAAAAGGAAGGCTCATCTAGGCAATTGTCTTCTCATTCTTTTCAATTCTTCTTGAGGTTGTTTGCCTTTTTTTCTTCCTAATATTATCTTCTGTCTCTCTTTCTCTTTGGTGGTGGCAGGCTGCCTTGAAAATTAGAGAGTCTTTAGAATTCAAACACAGACAAACCAATAATGGGAATGTGGGAGACATTCTTGGCCTTTCTTAAAGGTAGATCTGGGACACTCTAAACATTTATATAAAAGCTAAGCAGCTTTTTAAGGTTTTTTTTAAGAAAGTGGTCAGAGAATTGGTGGGTAGCACTTAATTAAATTCATGATAGCTTTTAGAGCAAGTGAACATCTTTGGAAAAGGACTTGTTTATCTTACTTCCCTTCGTACCTTACCCAGCAAGAATGAACTGAGTGAGAAAGACCTATAATAGTGGAGATAAAGAATAACCAAAAGGAACTCTGTTGTTATCTATAATCTGCTTGCTTGAGTGTGCCTATTTTCTTTCTAAAAAACAGGCTTTCAGATAGTGCTAAATGATATGAGTAACTAATTTTCACTTACAGCAAGATATAATATGCACAGGTATGCATGAATGTCTTCAGGGCTAGTTATCACAGGCTTTGGTTTTACATAAAGATGTTTGGGGTATGTGCAGTGTTTTATTAATTCTAAAGTTGCGTGTTCACAGCACAGTATCTTTCCAGTGTATTAAATATGTTTTTCAGGTATATCTAATTTATTAATTTATTTCTTTTTTGGTCATAAAGCTCTGCATTTGCTACTATTTATTTGAGGCATTCTATTATGCCCAAGATTTCAATGAACATTATTTAGACCTCTGGATAGTAATAAATGTGTCTAAGTATATTTGTTGCCAAAGTGAAAACTATAATAGGATAAAATTATTATATAACATATTGCAAATAAACACATTTGTTTTATATGCAAATTAGATCTTGTTATATACTATATAACCATATTATAAAACACTTAAAATAACATTTCATTAGATTTGGAAGTGCTGCTGCATTATTTTGCAGTTATCCTCATGTGTATTCTTAAATTCTCTCCATATAGGAGATAAATCTAGAAATTTAATGATTTACATTGGGGGATTACACTTTTTTCTAGTCTGGTTTGGTGTTTTTCTGTGGCTTGGTAAAGTTGAAGGGGTTGGATTTTACTGTCCTCATTGCCCTCTCTTTAAGCAAAAATATGGATTAAACAAATTTCATCCTTTACTTGCTAAGTAAACTTAAGTAATATAGTTCAGACTACCCAGTTATAGATAAAATCTGAGGCATTCATTGCTCAAGAGTCATGGATGCTCCTTCTTTTCTTCTGTATTTCTTAATTAGAGGGGTTTCTAATCTAACATGGCATCTACTATTTTTCATTAATGTAAAAGAGATGCCAGAGGGAGCTGACCAGTGTCCCTAAAGACTGCCATTGAAAACACACTAAACATTGGCCAGAGTGTGACAGGAGCCACTTGTATCTCCTTCCTTACACATCTAAATGTTGCAAGACATGCTCAATAACTGAGTATTAGTTGTAAGAATACTGAGAGATGGGATTAGAAGCGTTATTTTCTTTTAGTCCTTAAAAATATATCCATGGACTACGGCCATTTGTTTTCATGTATTTCAGTCATTTTGTCCTCAATTTACTCCTGTTTAGTTCCTAGGTTATGAGTTACTCATAATGCCCCAATTTTTCTATTATTAGATTTTAGTCTTGCACATCGAATATTTCCATCATGACCACTTCTTTTTTATAGAGAAATTGCCAGGTTTCTCAGGGTAAATAATGGAGGAGAAAAGTTGAAGGGCAAAGGATATAGAGAGAAAGCTAACAGACAACTTTTTCCCCAAGGCCACCAAACTGGCAAAGAGATGGACTGGTTCCTAAGTTCCCACATTAGGGTTGGACCTTGGTGTTCCAAAGAGAATGTGATTGATGGTGTTAAGAAAACTTGATCTTCTAGTTATATTAAAAATAGAAATAAATTTTTAAAATTAAATTTGAATTTTCAATTTTCACTTTAACATTTTATCACTGATTTCCATTACATTAGGTGGACAAGATGCATTATTCTGAAACCAAACCAAACAGAAAACACAAAAAAACCTTACAACATTTTGATTGTGTTGAGATTTTTACACTGAGATAGAGACAAATATCTTTGGCCAGTCTCAAGTATAGATGATGATGATGATTTTATCATATTTTCCTGTTATTCTGTCAGTAATTCCACACAGGTATGTCTGTGAATAAAGAGACTGTATGGTTCTTTAGATAAAGGGACAATTTGTAAATCTTCTCCCGCTGCCAAAATTATTTTTTCCATTTGAATATTTATTATTTCTGTTTTGTGATAAAGATAAGAATGATAATCTCTTTTCAATGCCATACTAACTTTATTAGGATGGAAAAAGGGTTAAATCAAAGAAGACATTTGTTAAATAAATACCAAATTCGATATGGCATAGGAAATGAACTGCTGGTAGGTATGTCTAGCTCATTGCTTCTGTTTTTATTCAGACCTTGTTCCTAATACATGCCAAATAATGACAGTTAAGACTAGATTTCCTTTCAGCATTTGTGTGTGTGTGTTTGGGGAAACTGCGAGGAGGTTGGTCTATCTATTTTATGATGTTGGCTGTGATACAAAGAAAAACTCGAGAAAAGCAAGGTTCTAGTAGTGGTAAAAGATGGGAAGCTCATATATTATCAATCCATATATTTGTCCCTCTCCATAGTTTTGCTCTTCCACCTTTACCTAAAATAAATAAGGAATTACCTGAGGCAGAATATTGATGGATCTGTTTTTTAAATTGATTATTTTTCAATGCTAAGGCTTAAAGAATAATTAGGGTTTACGAAGGGCTCACGGAAAAGACTTATTTGTTTATAAGCTTTTTGTTAAGCTTCCCTATTCTTTGCATTTTTGAAAATGCGAGGATAGATATTTCCTCCACAGTTAATTTTTCTTGTCATTTAAATGTTGTCATTATTAATATACAAAAATATTTTATGTGGAATTTCATTGATTATGTATTTACATTAATTTGAATACAGGCTTAACAGATATTTACATTTATATTTTCAAAGAAAAAAATACTAAGAAATTAACAGTAAATGTAATTTCGGTGTTGTATCTACCTAATTAGATAAATGAATTGTTTTCAGTCAGCTTAGAAACACTCCAAATGTAATATAGTGTAATTGCTATTTATAAATACATAAATTCAATTTCAGGTTCTTCAATAATTTAAAAATTATTTCTGTATATTCATTATAGCAGGACTTTAATGTTGGGTAACTCCGTTAATGCATGCAACTGGAATAATAATGCTGTACACCTGAATTTTGTTATATTTATAATGAGATACATATTAATGGCAATTTTTTATTAGATTTTTTTTACAGTTAATACAACTTGATAAAGTTTTACAGCATTAGTTTTTGCAAAGGACAGTAAAGGACAAAGAAGAAGTTTAAAACAGTTAAGAGACAAATTTATTGTTTCATAAGCTTCTTAGAGTTAGATTACTTTGAAGTTACTGCTACATGCTGAAGTATAATTTTGGCAAAAGATTTTTAAAAACCTAGATATTATGATATTGACTATGTAAGCATTCTAAAGTAATTATTGGAAGTATGTGTACTTTAATTACTTTTAATAGAAAACACTGTACAGTAAAAAATAGTATCAACGGTGTAGTAATATAAAAATGGTAAAATAGTACAAAAAAGCATTAATTTACCTTGTGGCTTTAGTTGAGTTACTAGGCATCTCTGAGTCTCAATTTCCTAATTTGGACTGAATGATCTGTAGGATTTAAAATTCGAAAATGACCTATATCTATAATATTGCTACCACACAACTTCAAAGAACTTCAGTATCATGCAATGTTGATGTAATCATGTATTTACTTAAAGCAGCAAGGCTTTTAGAATACGAGTTTATACATAAGGTTAGTTTATCAGATCAAAGCGTTTCATTTTGAGGAAACTACCAAGCTTGCATGATTATTATCATTCAAGGCAAAGCTACTTTATTCCCTGGCAGATGAAATGTTATCTGGAATTTTCATTTTGTTGTTGGCATTCACATTTTAGGGATACCTAAGGAAACCAAACTGGTTTTTACTATTATCGATCATAGTTGGTATTGATGGTACCAAAAAGCGTAATCAGTTGTTTAGAGTGAGATGTTCAGTACTTTCCTTTCTACATGTAACACTTTAAAAACCTTGCTTGGAAGAGAAGTTTATTTTTCATACAGGAGCTGGTGATCCTTTTGAAGTGGAATTAGATTCTTGTTGTCATGGCAACACAAGATTCCACACTCCTGCTTCTCTCAATGTATATTTTTCTGAGTCAGGGTGTTTATAAGTGTTTTATTCATTGATGATAGTGCGTGGTTATTGGCATCGAGTAACTAGATCAGCCAGATGACATCTATGGTTCCTGTCAACTTTGAATTTCTAAGATATTGGACATTCCAATAGAAGTGATTGTAGTGTCTCTTTTAGGATGGAGTTGGGATACTAACTTTTACTTTCTTAAATACATTAATCAGTCTATATAATGCAAATGGCTATAACAAGCAACACCCATACATACAGTGGCTTAGCACAGCAAATGTTTTTTTGTCTTGATTATATCAAGTGGTTGACAGGGCATAGCTGTACCAGAGGGTGACTTGTCTCTGTTGACTCTCAGAGGCTACTAGGAGTCTTCCACTGGATCTCTTTCATCTGCCTGTCTAAGAAGCCAAGAAGGAAAGCATGCAGAATCACACAGGTTGTTTATGGCTAGTTCTGGAAGTTGCACTCATCAATTCTGTACACATTGCAGGACCCAATCACGTAGCCCTAACTAACTTCAAAGGAAGCAAGGATATGTAGTCTTCTTGAGGGCTAGAAAGGGAAAATGGAATTGGCAAACAGTCTGTTTCTGACATGGTGCCTTTTTGTTTACAAATGTTCTATGTGTAATTGGTATATCTTTGGGGAAATTAGATCTCTCTATTTAAAATTCACTTTGAATGATGAACAGGTGGTAGCTGATGTATTAATTTAAATTTATCCTTGTTGCCTTTTCATAAAAGACTTGTTCATTATTTCTTTCCATACAATTTAGGGTATTCTGACTTTAACCATTAAGTTTTTATTTTTTATATCTATTGCTACCTTAGGATCTTACTTTAATTATTAAGCTTTTGGTTCTGTTAAAGAGAACTTCATAACTTACAAAATAATAATCATAACAGGACTTTAAAAATTCCTCAGAGGCAAGATGAACTTCATTTGAAGTAATTGAAAGTCAATTATTTTGTTTTAAAATTCACTTTTAGTTTAATTACCTGCTATTACAAGAAAAGTTGCTTAATAATCTTTTTGCTGTTCCTTACATCTGCAATAAGTATATAGCCATGTGTGACCAATTAAAGATGTTCATAAATACTTTGACACTTCTCCATTGATAAGTGGAGGCTATAGTCCCTCATTTGAATCTGGGTGACCTCTGTGGCTGCTTTGAAAATAGAATAAGGCAGAGATGATGCAGTGCAAGTATTCAGGTTTATATCTTAAGGCAATGGCAGCTTTTACTCTTGTCTTTTGGAATTGATGCTCTTGGAATGAAGCCACCATAATGTAGGGCTTAAAGCCCCATGGGAGCCATGTGTAGGAGGCTTGGATAACAGCTCCAGTGAATGCGCCATCCTGCAGCCAGTATCAATTGTCAGCCATGTGAGTGAGCCATCTTGGATGTTAGTCCAACAGAGCCTTCAGAGGATTCATTCAGCCCCAGGTTCTTTCTGAATGCAATCAGTCAGAGATTCCAAAAAACTGTCTGGCTGTTTAGGTCAAGGTAGAAATGTGAGAGATCATAATAATAGTTTACGTCACAATAAAAACCTAGAACACTGTATTTTTCTTTATTAAGATCTTATTCCTAAAAGTCTTCTAACACCATCATAACAAATGTTTTTTTTTTAACCAACCTTTGAATATGGTTGAATAATTATGGGATTTAGAGAAATGAATATGAATCACATCTCTTTTTATTTATGTATGTATCAATCTATGTGTCTATCTACCTATCTGTTTGTATTCGTTGCAACCTAGCTGCCAGCTGAGACAAGTTTGTGGATTAATATTTGAGTCTGAGTGACATTGCCAAGGACTGGGTTCAATGAGACATATGTTTCAAGGTTGCCAGCAGGCAATATTCTTATCATTTTCTGGGTCATTGCCATAAACTAGAATTCTAAGACCATAATCATTTGTTCTAAGGAAGCATCAGACTCAACAGTTTGTCCTGGGTGGCAATGTCAAAGTATGGTATAGCTGGTGGGCAAACTTGGTCACCAGAGAAAACTGCACATGTGAAGTTGTTCAAGAAACAGGGGATTCAAACATTGTTGGTTAAATGATGTGAATTCAGGCAGGTCAGGCTATGCGTGGATTATAATGAGCTGTATCCTTATATTCTATTATTTGGAAGATCCAGAAAGGATCAGATTACTTTCCTTCATCTAGAGGTCTGTATCCTAAAATGATACCACTACAGATTCAGTTTTTTTTTGTCTCCAGAACATCTATTAAAGTATGAATATTCTCTTGGAGGCTAGTACTTGGAATAAACTTACTCAGGTATTAGAGATTTTCATACATATTGTTTTTTTTCTAAGAAGAGAGGAGCCTTTAAAGAGAACTGGTGTTATTCTTGGGAAGATGCTGAATGTTGAAATAGGGAAAAAAGAGAGATGTCATATATTGCATACTTTATAATTTCATCTGAGCTAATGCTAAATGCACTATTTAAGAATTATAAATGCATTTATAATTCTGTTTGCTGCATTCTGCTGTTATCCTTTGAAATCATATGAGCTTTGAGGCAGGCCCATATGTTTTATAAAGTAGTAATATAGTAAATCAATAACATTTATTAAAACTCATTAACTGATAAACATTCCTTTTACCAGTCCTCTTCCAGGGCATATGTAAAATGTTGGAAACTGACAATGTGAATTCTGAACAGAACATGATAGTGCTTTCTTCAACAGGCATAGGCTTAGAATTAGAAGCCTTTTGGTAGTTCCCTAATGTGTTATGTATAAATGGAATAATAATCTAAGACATCAGCTTCTACAGATAATACAGCTAAAGTAAATTGATTGGCAGGTGATTTTTTTGCTCCCAATTTCCTTCTATTGTTCTCTCTCTCTCTCTCTCTCTCTCTCTCAGCATATGGCCACAAAACTAGAGACTACAGGCCGGGCGCGGTGGCTCACGCCTGTAATCCTAGCACTTTGGGAGGCCGAGGAGGCCGGATCACGAGGTCAGGAGATCGAGACCATCCTGGCTAATACAGGTGAAACCCCGTCTCTACTAAAAATATAAAAAATTAGCAGGGCGTGGTGGCGGGCACCTGTAATCCCAGCTACTCGGGAGGCTGAGGCAGGAGAATGGCGGGAACCTGGCAGGTGGAGCTTGCAGTGAGCTGAGATCGTGCCGCTGCGCTTCAGCCTAGTCGACAGAGCGAGACTCCGTCTCAAAAACAAAACAAAACAAAACAAAACAAAACAAACAAACAAACAAACAACTAGAGACTACATTTCTCAGGACTCTTGGTCAAGGGTGCTGGTGCTCACAAACTAAGTTATCACCAGTGGAATGGAAATAGAAGTGATTTGGACAATTTTTGCCTAATTTTCTTAAAAATAAAAAGTACCCTGGGTTTCCTCTATTTTTTTCCTTCTTGTAAATAGAACATAATGTGCTTGTGACCCAGCTTCAACCATGCAGATGAAAATAATACCTTAGGGGAAGTGGTAAAGCAATAAGGTGAAAGGTACCTATGAGCCTGAAGGACCTTGTGGATCAAGGCCACTTCAGCAACCTTGAACACTCGCCTTGGGATCATTATATGAAAGATAAGTAAATTATACCTTATATAGGCCAGTAATTTTTCTCACTTTTTAAAAGTAGCTTAGCCTTTATTGTAACTATTATGCTTCACCTTTTATGATTAAGATAAATATTCTCTTCTATGAAAGAGTTCAGCAGATAGCCTCATGTATGTGATAGTTAATTGCCTTAATAACTTGATGATGTTTAAAAAATTCTGAAAATGATGCAGTGGGTTGAATACTGTCATAAATGTAATCATAAAATATTATGTAAGTGACCCAATGAACATATATATGTAACTTAGACAGTAAGCCCAATGGGAAGGCATCAAATTATTTCCTGTCAAAATATTCCCTATTTTTGTTGTCCATATTTCTTTTAAACTTAGACCTCTATTGCTACATGGTGAATATCTTTTTCATTCACTTACTGTATCCTTACTTTGTTGTAGGGACTAGAGAAATCAAAGAAGCATTGGCTCTGATTGGAAGGAGCTCATGTTCTTGTCTGTTTTGATGAACATGGTCTCCCAGAACTCAGAACAGTGCCTACCATGTGAAGTACTTGGTGAATATTTGAAGATTAAATGAATATAGTTAATGAGAAAAGATATATACAAAAAGTTTAGTAATATGAAGAACTATTGGAGTGACAAATGGCCATTAAAACAAGAGCTATGGAGTTTAGAATAGTGAGAGTCAACATTAGTGTGCAAGTGCTGAAGTATGTGTGCAATTTAGCTGGACAGGGTTTGTATTGGTTCCTGGGCACAATGACAAACAGTATGCACAAAGATAAAGGCAGTATAGATCAGCTCTGTCCACTAGAACTTACTGTGATGATGGGGGTGTTCATATTTGTACTGTCTAGTATGGTACCAACTAGCCACATGTGGCAATTGAGCACTTGAAGCAAATATGACAGAGGAACTGACATTTAAATTTTATGTAATTTTAGTTAATTAAAATTTAAATAGCCACATGTGGCTAATGGCTATCTATCATACTGGAAACACAGGAACAGATAATTCAAGTAGTAAAAATGTATACACAAAGATTTAGATATGAATGATCCAGGTAAGTTTTGAGGCTAGTGAGCTAACTCAGGTGCTGAAAGTTGTTTGGGAGTACTGAACTCAGTACTAATCTAAAGGAAGGCTGCGGAAAGGTGTCTTCAAGCCTCATTCAGGAACTGCCAAGTTTGCATTGGCTTTTCTATGGTACTATTTCAGTTGTACACACACACACACACCACACACACACACACACAGACAGCCTTGAAATGAGAACTATATTATTGAAAGATATTGAGAAAACTAAAAAGGTCAGTCAAGATTTTTTAATATGTAGCCCATATTTTCTTCTTTTTTTAGTTTGTTGCTAGCTTAAAAAATATAGTTCTGAGATTGTGTGTGTCAGGACATCTAGATTCCAATTACAAGAGTTCTCATCAAATTATTTATTTCATGGAAAGCCATGACATGCTAGCCTGCAGTCTTTTTAGTCTGATTATTTTCCGGGAAATTGTTATGTGTAAAGATAAAATTTAAATTTTTTTCACTAATTCTAGTATAATTTATTTGAAAGTTATACATTATTTGTATCAATTTTTCCAAGGAGATATCTTTTATCTTTAATAATAAACACTGGTAGTTAATACTTAGTGAACACAATTCTGAAATACAGTATGCTAAATTTTGTACATATATATGAGAAAGAGAATTGAATGAGAAGGGAATATGGAGATTGAGGAACAGAAGATGAGGAAAAAGCAGGACAGGGGATACATTACCGACTTGTTTAATAGCATATTTAGTTTTATTGAATATTCGAGTTCATTCTCTCTATTCTCTGGATGCATGCTTCTGATATGGAACAGCGGCAGGATTTCTCTAAACTGAGAAGTATCAGAATGTGATAAATCTCTCTTCTAGCTGTCATGGTGTATTGCATGGTGTAAGTGATGTGCAGTCTCTGTGAGATGGGAAAATAGAAGTGGATAGGAAAATAGAGAGAATATTTTTTCTTCTAGATATCGAGGTCATTTTATGAGATATAAAGACAGAAATGTTTCTGGGAGGCATCCTGCTCACTCCCGCAAAGCTTTTATCGATCTACTGTAAAAAAGCCAATTTCTACTTCTGTATGTGTGGAACTCCTATTGAGGACAAAAGTAAAGGACACACCTGGATCCAAAGGGGAATGTTTTAGCTTGACTTTTCTAAAATAAATTCCAGCAGGAAAAAAGTTAACATGAAATATTAAGCCCAGAAGATTCATTCCACACACAGTGATAGCTCTATAATGTTTCTTTCCTCTGCAGGAAACTCGATCCACTCTATATTTGTTTTAAATTGCTCTGTCTATGGGTCTCACTTCCAAAGATTACCTTTATTCACCTGCACAGCCATTTAAGAGAAAAGGTAGAGAGGAAAGGGACTAACACGAAAGCTGCTGGAAACTTGAATGTTTAATTAGCAGCCTTTTGTTTTTACTACTGGGTATTAACAGTTGAGTGGTGTGGGGCAAGTTACATTAGACACTTTGATATTCAGAATTAGCAGTTCTAGATTGGGCATAATGAACCCAGTAAATTTTTGGTGAAATAATTCAGTATGAATTTTTGTGTTGCATGTTTTAAATAGAAAATATACATGATTTAAGGAAGGCCTCCAGACTAGCTTCTATGCCCCTCTATTTGTAATCTTCTTTTCACTTATATAGAACAGTTATTTGGTCCTTAGTGTGTTAAAGATATTCTGCTAGTCCCATTGTGAAGAAATGTTTTGCAATTGGAATAAGATTACTTTCCTTAGAAAATCATTAATAGATTTTTTTTGCTTATTGAGTAATTTCATTTTTCAATGAAATACATGTTTGAATATTTCATTGATTTTCTACATAGATTTTTTTTTTTACCTTCCATCATGCTGGAACACTTGTATCTCTTTAGGATATAAATAATTTATTCCTATGGCTTCAAAGGTCTTAATAATGAATTCATTAGCAAACAGTGCGTCTCTGACTTATGACGTCATTATAAGAAAGACCGTATGCAAGCTAAAACTATAAGATACCATATTTAAAAGATACCTTATAGTCTAGTATTCATTGTCGATTTTTGTCTAGATTAACCATTTAATTGTGGCTGCAAAATAATAAATTTTTTCTTACTAAAATTTGTTGTAAACAAATCTTAAACTTGTAGAAAAGTTGGAAGTACAGTCCAGTACAGAAAACTGTTGTTTTTCCTGTACTTTTGAAAGTTTGCTAATGATGTGATGCCCAACCCTTCCCTAATATGTTAGTGTGCATTTCCTACAAACAAGGTTATTCTCCTATTCAACAAGAACTCAGACATTCAAATTAGCAAATTAATATAAACATATTGCTATGATGTAGTCTCAGATTCCACTCGAGTTTTGCCAAATATCTCAATGTTATCCTTCATATCAAAAAGATCCAGTTGAAAATTATGCATCATCTTTAGTTGATATGCTTCTTTAGTCTCTTTTGATCTGGAACAGTTCCTCAGTCCTTCATTGCCTCTAATGCCTTTGGCTCTTTTGAAGATTATGGGCCACTTATTTTGTAGTATGTCTTTCAATTAGTATTCGGCTGTATTTCCTGATGATTAGATTTAGGTTATGCATCTTTGGCAGAAATATCACAAAAGTGATGCTGTTCGCTTGTTGCATCTTATCAGGTAGCTCATGATTTTGATTTGTACCATTACTGATGATGTTCACTTTCATCATTTGATTAAGGCAATATCTGTCAGACTTTGCCACTGTGAAGTTACTCTTTCCTCCTTTGTGATTACTTAATATTTTGTGAAGAGATAGTCTGAAACTATGTGACTATACAACTCTTCAAAAAATTTTCAATGTATTAATTTATAGCAGTATGACTCATTCTATTTTATTTGATGAATTATAATTCGTTACTGTCATTTTTTTATTTTGATGCTCAAATCGATTTGGTCTGAGTCCCTTGAAAGTTGGCTCCTGTGTCTTTTTGACATGTCTCCTTTATATCTTTATACCTATTTTCTGATACAAGGAGATAATCCAGGCATATCTTGAGCTTTCATTTGCCAAGCCCTGGAATCAGCCATTTCTCCAAGAAGCCCTAGTTCCTTTTTGTGGAGATTAGTACCTAAATATCAAGATATGAACATGTGGTGTGCTCATTGCCATTGGTATGTCACTGCTCCCAGGCTCTCTTAGTGGACAGAGCTACATATACACATACATATACATAGATGAGCGGTCTTCAAAAAGTTTATGAGAAATGCATATTATGAGAAAGTTATTCAAGGAGTTTAAAATTCTTTTGCACCCAAAATAAACTCATATGAACTTGATATAACTTGTTTGAATAGGATCTAGTTTGGGGCACTAAGAAGGCTAAGATACCGGTTTGAAAATGACCCCTATCAGAGCAACATAAATTCTTCTAAAATTAAAGCAAGAACATATATCACATTTATGATGAATCTTGGGTAGAAGAATGGTGAAATCACTGATGCTTTATGAAAAGTTTAGGGGGACAATGCCCCAAAGACATCAGCAGTTTATAAATGTATATAACTCACGGTAAGAAGGAATGAGATGATATTGAAGATGAAGCCCAAAGTGGCACACCATCCATATCGATTTGTGAGGAAAAATTAATCTTGTCCATGCCCTAATTAAAGAGGACTGATAAATAACAGCAGAAACAATAACCAACACCATAGACATCTCAATTGGTACAGTTTACACAATTCTGACTGAAAAATTAAAGTTGAGCACACTTCACACTTGATGTGTGCCAAACTGTTACACCCAGATCAGCTGCAGACAAGAGCAGAGCTTTCAATGGAAATTTTAAACAAGTGGGATCAAGATCCTAAAGCATTTCTTTGAAGAATTGTAATAGGAAAAGGAACATGGGTTTACCAGTATGATCCTGAAGACAAAGCACAAAGCACAATCAAATAAATGGCTACCAAGACATGAAAGTGGTTCAGTCAATGCAAAAGTGGACTGGTTAAGAGCAATGATTATGGCCACAGCTTTTTTTTTGGATGCTCAAGTCATGTTGGTTGTTTAGTTTCTGGAAGGCCCAAGAATGGTAATATATGCTTATTATGAGAGTGTTTTGAGAAAGTTAGCCAAAGCTTTAGCAAAAAATGCCTGGGATAGCTTTATCAGAGAATCCTTCTCCACCACAACAATGTTTCTGCTCATTCCTCTCATCAAACAATAGCAATTTTGTAAATTTCACTAGGAAATCATTAGGCATCCACCTCACAGTCCTGATTTGACCACTTGTGACTTCTCTTAGTTTTCCAATTTCAAATAATCTTTAAAGGGCACCCATTTTTTTCTTCAGTAAATAGTGTAAAAAAGACTACATTGACATGTTTAAATTCCCAGGACATTTAGTTTTTTATGGATGGACTAAGTGGTTGGTATCATCACTTACAAGTGTCTTGAACTTGATTGAGTTTATGTGGATAAAGTTTATATTTTTATTTTAGCTTTTAATTTCATTTTCCACAAACTTGTTGAAGTCTCCACATATCCACCTACATATTTACACACATACATATGTACATGTATTTATACTTATATTTATTTCTATATCTATCTCAATATATTTATTTTATTTTATTTTTTTGAGACAGGGTCTCACTCTATCATCCATATTGGAGTGCTGTGACCCAGTCATGGCTCACGGCAGTCTTGACCCTTTGACCTCCTTGGGCTCAGGTAATCCTTCTACCTCAGCTTCCTGAGTAACTGGGACCACAGGCATGTGCCACCATTCCCTGCTAATTTTTGTTTGTTTTGTAGAGACAGGATTTCACCATATTGCCTGGTTGGTCTCAAATTCCTGAGCTCATGCAATCTACCTGCCTCAGGCTCCCTAAGTGCTGGGATTACACGTGCGAACCACCATGCCTGGCCTATCTAAATGTATTTAAAATCACTCCAACACTTCCATTTTCATCTAACATCATTCATTTTAGTTTTTTTCTAACTTTCTTCTCCAAGAGGTATGTTTTTGGGGTATTTATTTTTAATTGACATATAAAAATTGTATGTTTATCATGTACAATATGTTGTGTTGAAATATGTACACATTGTAGAAAGGCTAAATTGAGACAATTAATACATTAAATTCTTATGTTTTTTTTTGTGGTGAGAACACTTAATATTTACTCTTTTAGCAATTTTCAAGAATACATTAACTTTAGTCACTAAGTTATACAACTGATCTCTTGAACTTATTCCTTCCACAAAACTCCTAAAATTCTATACATCTGAGAAATATTTTTAAAATTTTACTTAAAAAATCATTTCTTTTGTATGTACCAGAATTCTGCATCCAATTGTTTATCACCATTATAACCCCCTTCTTGTGCAGATGCTCTCCTCCCTTCACTTGGGCCCCAACATATTACCCAGTTCGAGCACCTGCATGGACACTGTCTTTATCTTGCTGCAGCTCTGAAGCCCCTTGCAGGCCATCCCTTTGCAAGGACACTTTTTTCACCCTGCTTGGGTTCTGACTCCCCATGCCTTGCCACTCTTGCTGGTGAAGCTGTCCCTACAATGTTTATGCTCCAGCTCCCCATGCTAGGTCATCCCATGGTGTGATGTCCTCTTCATTATGTTGCTCTGACATCCCCCTTTGTGAAGGTGCATTTCTCACACTGCTCAGGGTCTGACTCCTTGCAACAGATGACTCACTTGCATGGAGCCTGGATTCTGACAGATCTTATTTGGATTCTGACACCCCATAATTGGCAGCCTTACTGTATGAATATATTTCTTATGGTAGTGGGCAGACTTTTAAGGAAGTCCTCATGATCCATGCCTCCTGGTGATCATTTCCTTGTGTGATACCCTCCCTTTGAGTGTACATGGGAACTGCGACTTGCTTCAAACTAATTTGATATGGCAAAGTTGACAGGATGTATGTGATTACATGAATATAATTGCATAATTATGTGGTATATACTATATAACATTGTAGGGCATCCTGCTTGAGTCTTCTTCCCTTCTTTGCTATGAGGAAGGAAGTAACCATGTTGGGGAAGCCTGTCTGGAAAGGAACTGTGGGAAGCCTTTAGAAGCTGATGGCGGTTTTCTCCCAACAACCAGCAAGAAATTGGTACTTTCAGTCAAACTGTCACAAATACTGAATTCTGCTAATTACTTGAGTGAACTTGGAAATGAATCCTTCCTAAGTTAGGTGTGACCACAGCTCTAGCTGACAGCTCTGACAGCTCTGTTTTCAGCCTTATGAGACCCTAAGCAGAGGATGTGGACAACCTGTGCCTGTATTCTGATAACACAGAAACTGCAAGAGACAAAAGTGTCTGGTTGGAAGTTTCTAAGCTTGTGGTAACTTGTGATATAGCAGTAGATAACTAAAACACTTACCCTGCCTAGGTCATTCCACTCTGGAGTACCATGGGTCTCCCCTGGCCTCCAACCTGGGTGCCTACTTGCATTGCCTCACCTAATGACTTTAGGATTCAATTGTTCAGGAAGGAAAGAGAAGAGAAAAACATGAGAGGGAAGGGAAATGGAGGGGAGGTGAGAAAGAAAAGGGCAGAGGATACAAAGGTAAGAGGAAGAGCCAGAAAGATGATTTTTCTAATTTGGTCATTCGATGTTTTTTACCCGAAATTTTTCCTTAATTAAAAGTATTAACTCTACAACTTTGTTATCCAGAATGCTATTTGTACAGGAAAAGAAGAAAATTTGCTTAATTGTTTTCCTTTTGTTTATCGGTCTTCAGAATAAAGAGTTGATATTCCAGCAATATACAATGGGAGCCAATCAATTTGTTCTTTTAGGAAATAGAATTATGAACTAATGGAATTTTTTAAGTATTTGAGTTTTATATATCTCAATTTATTTCTAGTCTTTGATGGCTTTTTGCTTTCTGGCACAGTAATATAATCTAGTCCACGGTATATATGTCCTGTCCCAGATGTGAAATTAACCAAGGATACTAGTCAGAAATAACATTTGGTAGTCACAGTCTGAGTGCTAGGGGTATTTATTGCTATGAGGTAGTCGTTGCTTCTAGGCCTTTTCAATGGACAGATTTAGGAAATGTATAAAAGTCATTTTTTAAATAGCATGAGTTTCTACTGATATTTTTCAGTTCAAATTTAGAATTTATAAGCACCTGGAACTAGTCAACTTTGAGGTTAAATCCTTCAGACTGCTAAGTCTGCTTAGGACTTCTGACACCAGTCACAAGTTCTAAGGTCCCCAGGGCCACCTTGATTTCAGGTCAGCTAGTCACAAATTCAGACTCTCCATGGACTCCCTCAGGTTCGATAATTTGCTAGAATGACTTGCAGAACTCAAAAAAGTGCTGTACCTATGATTACAGTTTTATTAGAGCAAAAGGTACAAATCAGAACCAGACAAAGGAAGAGACACATAGGGAGAAATCTGGGACTGGAAGGGTTCCAAATGTGAAGTTTCTGTGTCCTCAGTGACATGTTACTGTCCCAGCATCAATATGTGGAAATGTATACATGCAGTGTTGCCAGCCCTGAGAGCTCATATGAACTTTAATGTCCAGAGATTTTATTGGGATTTTATTATGTAGGCATGACTGATTGAATTGTCACCAACCCAGTTGAACTCAACGTCTAGCTCCCTTCCCTCCCTGGAGGTCAAGTGGACATTATATGGCATAGAACCCCAACCCAAAGTACATGGTGTTTCTGGTATGACCAGCACACATTTTGAGTCCTCTCATTAATCTATCTAGAGGCCCTCCATGAGTCACAGAGTTAGCGTAAACCATCTTGTGTGATCTGAGGGACCCACCATGAATAGCTAAGACACTCCCATCATTTGGGAATTCCCAAGGGTTTATTGGTTACCTCCTAGAAGTTGGGGCAAAGTCCAGATCTTTAGACAAACCTAATTCTTCAGTACAAGATTTTTACTTAACATTTTTGCTTTATAATCATGTCCTTTTATGCTTTAACGATAGGCTCGGGTTCAGGACTAAAATTATCCCTTGTGCAAGGAACTAAGGAGGTAGAAAACAAAAGAAGTTCAGTGATGAAATGTTAAAACAAAAAAGAGCGGGGCCACAAATGAATGCCATACTGTATGGTAAAATGCACAAATGCTTGATTAACATGAATGAGAATGACCATATACGGTTTAATGGAAAAGGTAGATTAGGGTAAGCTGAACTGTTGTAACAAATGGAACCCCAGATACAGTGGTTCAATGTATTAGAAGTTTATTGCTTGCTCATGTAATACTCCAAGGGCTTCTTGGTTGGCAGGGGGATTCTGTTCCATACAGTCATCAAGAATTTTAGCTTGTGGCAGAAGTTCCAGCTTTAGCACATAGCTTCCAAAGTTGATCTGGGTATCAACATCTCCATCTTCTGGTAGTAGGAAAGAGCATGAAGCTGTGAGTGCAGTGCTTTTTATGAGTTATGCATGGGAGTGGCTAATGCTACTTTCACTCACATTCCATTGGCTAATACTCATTCTTAAGGACCCAACTCACATTATGGGAGACAAAGAAATGTGGAATAAGTATATTCCCAGCAGAAAAGTTAACAATTAATTTGGTGGTCCATTGGTAGTATCTGTCACACAGAGCTTGAACTGTGAAGGGGTAATATGATTTGGGGGAAAAGTAGCTATGAGGAAGCTGGAGATACAGAGAGCAAGGAAGACATCAAGAGTTATGTCAAATAGCTGTGAAAAAATATGTTGTCTTAAAGGGCTGGTGATGTGAGTCAATAGATTGTTCCTTGATTCATATGGCTTTATAAGTATTATTATTATTATTTACAAATTAGTTTCTCCAACTAGACTATAACCTTCTAGCACAATATCTGACATATAGTGGATCTTCAATTAATGTTTATAAAATTAGAATGCTAATCTGGATTACTTAAACACTTAGTTTGAATTAGAATAATGTTCCTATTGAGATATAATTTATCTGTCGTTTTCAGGACACACAATTTATAAAAGAGATCTAATTAACCACTCTAATGCATGCATTCATTTTTTTAAGCAGAGGCATTAGGCATATTTCAAAGTTATATTACTTTGAGCTTATAACTAGTAGTTATCTTTTTTTAGTGTTTTTTTTTTGCTCCTCAATTTATGTGCATTGAATTCATACCTTTATGAGAGAGGCTAAAATTATTTGCATATTATAAAGAGATTGAAATAAATTTTATTTATTGAAAACACAGGTACTATATTTATAGCGAAGGAAGATACCTTTAAAATGGTTAGATTACAAATGAAACTACTTAAACGAGAAAAAATGTGGAAAAGATAAGAGATGGTAAATGATTATGGAAATGTGTGAGAGATAAAAATCTTGTTCTTTTTATTATCTTTTTATCTAGCTAGAAGATGAAAAATTATTCTGTACGAAAGTACTTAGATTATTTTATTTACCACCATTTTATGTTTACTGATATGAGTTTTTTCTTATCTGTGCTTAGTGTACATAATTTAGTAAGAAGGCATAACAGTACTAATAATTTGTTTTTTTGTTGTTGTTTATTTATTTATTTATTTTTATTATACTTTAAGTTTTAGGGTACATGTACACAACATGCAGGTTAGTTACATATGTATACATGTGCCATGTTGGTGTGCTGCTCCCAGTAACTCATCATTTAACATTAGGTATATCTCCAAATGCTATCCCTCCCTGCTCCCCCCACCCCACAACAGGCCCAGGACACAGCTTGGCTTACTTCTTAAGAATCTAAAAGTGTATAGGAGATGATATTGCTAGGAGAGGAATGACTGAAACAAATTTTGTGTGTTGTTTGGTTTGTGGATCTGATTGAATTCATTTATGAATGGGGAATTTTATTTGGCAGACATACACAAGGTTAAAAACTTTGAGTCTCCAAATCCCTCTGAATTTCTTTTTTTTTAAAATTTTATTATTATTATACTTTAAGTTTTAGGGTACATGTGCACAACGTGTACATATATACATGTGCCGTGTTGGTGTGCTGCACCCATTAACTCATCATTTAGCATTAGGTATATCTCCTAATGCTATCCCTTCCCCCTCCCGCCACCCCACAACAGGCCCCGGTGTGTGATGTTCCCCTTCCTGTGTCCATATGTTCTCATTGTTCAATTCCCACCTATGAGTGAGAACATGCGGTGTTTGGTTTTTTGTCCTTGCGACAGTTTGCTGAGAATGATGGTTTCCAGCTTCATCCATGTCCCTACAAAGGACATGAACTCATCATTTTTTATGGCTGCATAGTATTCCATGGTGTATATGTGCCACATTTTCTTAATCCAGTCTATCGTTGTTGGACATTTGAGTTGGTTCCAAGTCTTTGCTATTGTGAATGGTGCCGCTGTAAACATACGTGTGCATGTGTCTTTATAGCAGCATGATTTATAAGCCTTTGGGTATATACCCAGTAATGGGATGGCTGGGTCAGCAGGATCTCCCTCTTATCTGAAAGAACCAGCCTTACCCTGCAAAAAGCTTCTTGATGACAGTATTTGTTTCCTCACAAGGAGATTCTCAATAACAGGACTTCCTCTCGCCAAAGCTGAATTGACAAATGCTACTGTTATGTGTGTAACAGTGATCCCTTTTTCAGAGGCAGGGTTAAGCAGTCTCTCTAAGCCCAGTCACTGTACAGTTCTTTGCAAACTCTCGTCTCATTGTCTAAACAGGAGTAATGCTTGGAGGGGCTACAAATGCCTGGGCCCCAAATAGCAACCTCCCTGTAAATATCATACAATTTTTCTCCTATTGGTAATTGGTAGTGGTACTGGTGGGTTGGAGTTAAAGGGGGATATTGACTTGTGTTAGTGGCACAAGTTTGCGAGGCCAAACAACTTAAGCTTGAAGGTTTGTTAGTTTTTAGATTAAAAAGAAAACTTCTTTTTAATTTAAATTTTTAAGTTTTGTAGGTACATAGTAGGTGTATATATTTAAAGAAAACTTTTGATGTCAACAGTCAATTGCACTTTTTAGCCCAGTACTCTACAAACCCAGACAATTTTGTCAAGCTTTATTGACTTCCCTTAACAAGTTCTCTCATTTTTCTGGTTGTATAATTTTGTTAGAGTTTATAACACTTAATTATATTTCATAGCCCTGAAAGTTGTAATTTTGAAAATTCATCTAACAATTTCCAATGGTCCTTCAGACTTTATATTTTTTTGGCACAAAAGTGGACTTGGGCTAATTCCCTTGATAGCTACCCTTTAACATACATAGACTTTAAATGCCTGACTACTTTTAATGGTAAAATCCTGGAGGTATTAAAGGATAAATTGTGCTTATAGGTCTGGTCAGAGACCAATATTGTGCGTACCAACAGAAGATTGCATCTCTTAGAAACTGTATATGTCTTAATCGTATTTTACCAGGGACTCTTCTCTTGTAGCTCATATTTCAGGGAGTTGTACAAGTCATTGATATCTAACTTTAACATATTGTTTTGGACTAAGTTAATGCCAGGTAGAATATTGGTATAGGACCAAATCAAGGATCTACAACAGTGGATGAACAATGCATATCTTACTACAAATGTCCTGATAATAACCATAAGACCCTGCAGTTCCCTGGAGTCGTGTGGTTTTCCACAGAGACACTGTGTCTTATCCTTTTAGCCTGAAATAGCCTCCCCACTTTCCTCCTTCATTTTGCAGATTCCATCCTATGGAATGCATTCCCCAATGGTTGTAGTCTACAGTAGGTGTTCATCCAATACAACCTCACTGTGAACATCTACTATCTATTTTGTAGTCGACCATTTACCCCACAAAATTATATGCTCCTTTAGAGAGGAAACTGTGCTTAGTTATATTTGTGTTTCCTGAGTTAATCACTATGGATATGGTCTGTGTTGACTGTGAGACCTGGGTTCAAGTTCCAACTTTGCTATTCATAAAATGCCTGAGCCAGAAGGGATCACTTTCAATTTTTGAGCTCCAGTTTCTTCATTTGCAAAATGGAAAAAATTGTATTAACTAATACAAGTATTTTGAGAATGAGATTACATACTATATACAAAGCACTTAGCACAAAACCTGGAGTATACTACACGCTCAATAATTGTTATAGAGTATTCACAGCAAATGTAGAATAAATCTTTCAGCTTCCATATATAACTATTGAACTTGCATACTTAGCAAAAGTGGAACCGTGTAATTATCTTGGATCATTGACCCACAGAAAAAAAATGTTAATCATGTAGCAAGAAACAAAGGCAACAAGTAATACCCAACAATTAGTTTTGGTTGCCATGCTACTGCAAATATTACACATTCACATATCACATTTGAGTAAGTTAAAATATTGATATAGCAATTGCTTTCAAACTACTGAAATTGAAGATTATTATAATAATTATTCTGGCATGATTAATAAGGATATCACCGAGAAAATAAAGTCCAAACTCAGTTTTATGGCACAAGGCATTTTTCATGCTCTTTCTTCTGTCTTCCTCTCTTAAACTAGCTCTTTGTGTGCTCCATTCCACAGTTTTTGGCTCCTGTCGTATACAGTTTTATTGCAAACACCCTCATCTAATAGTTTCTAGTCCTTCCAATATACATAGCAAACACTCCTCTTTCAAGATCCAGATCAAAAGTTATTTCTGCTGATAAAAAAATTTTCTGATAATCTAGTATATAACTTACCATTTTATTTTTTGTGTTCCCACCATACCCTATAGATTTTCTGGCACATTTCTTCACATGGATATTGTTTCCCATTAGACTGTAAACTATATGAAAGCAGACCCTGGTAGACAGCAGGTGCTCACTATATGTTTGTTAAGCAAAGGTACAAATCATATCATATTCTAAACATATTTAAGAAACAGATAAGTAACTGTAATGCTTATATTTTGACTTCACTTGTTCTCCCAAGTACACTAATAAGCAATTATCTATTTATTACATTTTCAGAAGAGTCTTTAAGTTTCTAAATGTGTATTTTGATATCTAAGTCAGTGTACTGAATTTAAATGACCTGGGAACATAATCTTTAAAGAAATCACAGGAATGTGCTTATAACATTTAGGGGCCTTTTATTTTAATGGAGACCTCATTCTCCCTTTTAAACATGATACATTATCCAGATGACTAAAGTAATAAAATATGAGGAGAGTGAAAATGAAAACAGAATTTCTATGCAAAGGGAACTGGACAGTATCTAATTTGTATATGAAATCAGCTGATATAATTTGGCCAATATAAACACACTAAATTAATATTTAGGACAGTAGTTGAAGTCAAATGAGATCAATAGTATGAGTGAATTATTCTAAGGTCAAATTTAAATGAATACTGGCCTGGCGTGGTGGCTCACACCTGTAATTCCAGCAGTTTAGGAGGCCTAGGTGAGTGGATCACTTGAGGTCAGGAGTTCGAGACCAGCCTGGCCAACATGGTGAACCCCCATCTCTACTAAAAATACAAAAAATTTGCCCAGCATGGTGGCAGGCGCCTGGAATCCCAGCTACTCAGGAGGCTGAAGCAGGAGAATTGCTTGATACTGGGAGGTGGAGGTTGCAGTGAGCTGAGATCATGCCACTGCACTCCAGCCTGGGAGGTGCAGGCACCTCCTCATTCTCCTGACCTGTCTCATTGGTACCGTCTGCCTTGATTGTATGAGGTTACATGGATAAGTTCTTTAGTGGTGATTTCTGAGATTTTTGTGCACCAGTCACCCAAGCAGTGTACACTGTCCCCAATATGTATGTCATTTTTTGGGTGTGGGTGCTTTTTGTACCTTGACTGTATAAGGAAGCTGAGTTGAAACACTGATGTAATGTCTGCCTGCTCTTCTTCTGTCCAACTAGTTGTCCAAATATGAAGATTGAGATCTGAACTGAAGTCCAATCTCTACTCAGTAGTAATGTGATCTTGGGAAAGTTTCTTACTCCCTGAAGCATAGTGTCTGCTTTTGCAAAATGAGATTATATCTCTTTACAGGGTATTTGTGAGAAGCAAATGGTAGAATGCACATTAAAATAGTAAGTAAACTGCAAAACACTATGCAAATGTGAGTTTAGTGTTATAAATCTGTGTTACACAGTAGGGCGTGGGCTGTGTCTTTTATATCTCTAACTTTCCAGTATTGTTCTTTCAATGGTGGTGTTGGTAGAGAGACCTCTTCTGTTTCCTCACGCTGAGAGGCAGAGTGTGAATATGGGATACATCATGTTCCAGTCCACCCACTGGGTAACTTTTGGGATATGGGTCTCTCAGTAGCGTCAAGTTTTCTGTGTAACTGAGGATTTAGTTTTTTAAGTATAAACACTTTTAACAATATTTCTTGATGAAAGTGTTAAAAATATATATTTAATGGAGAAGGAGCAAGTGAAGAAGGAGCAGTAAATTATGTGTTGTGAATAGAAGGAAATAAAAATATATTCTGGCTCTACTTTATTGCTTTATAAATGCTAATAACTTTCCATTTTATTGTTAATTCAGGCACATTATTATTAATATTAGTTAACTCTGCTATAACACTCTGATGACTTCAGAGAATATGCTGCATATTGAATTATTTCCTTTTATATCAAATAATTCCAGATTGTTTTGATGTTTGAAATTAGATTTTTTAATAGTTTTTATTTCTTCCTCTGCTGTCGCTTCTCTTTGCTATGGGGAAATACCTTTACTCACTGTTTTGTCCTCTCTACTTGCTGCTTTCTCACACAAGTCAAGGGAGAGCCTCTGTAGTCCAAATAAGCTAATTTCTCTGTAGGCCTCTATTGGCAGGGGCCAAGGGTGCATTCTGGGACTTTGAGAACCCATAGGAAGACCTCCAACTCCCCCCGACCCATTATACTTTCACAGCCTTATCCTCACAATATGTCTCCAGACAGTGAGGACAAATAATCAGGTCAAAAAGCCAACATCTTTTAGGTCATCGCTAGTATCCTAAACTTTAATCCGCTTTTGGCCCCATCTTTCACATCTGCCCCATTTTCTGAATCTCCTCCAATATGCCCTCTGGAAGTTATATTCAGTGAAAGAATCAAAGCTTGTCCGGGGCAGAAAGAGTGGATATCAGCTAAGACTGATTAGAGCAAAGAGCATCGCTAACATTAATCAGGCTGGGAGGTCAGACAAGGACACAGACAGCTCCAAAGTTAACAGGAAATAGTAATTCTGCAGAGGTCATGCAGCAACTGTAAAATGCCTCCAGGATCTCTGCTTTGAATGATCACTGCTTTTTCACCCGTGACATTCTAGACCTACTTTGCTACAGTCATCTATTACTGAGGATACCCAGTTGCTAAGCCACCCATGCCTCATGACAGCACTGATTCCCTAGTTAATTTTTGCTTTTCGAAATTCTGCCATAGAAACAGCAAGCGAACCCAGAACTGATCCCCACTTCCCTTAGACTCTTCTCAGAATCCTTCAGCAGAAACCCAAACCTCACAAAACATGGTTTTCTCTTCCCTTTTGTTGAAAGCTGCATTCCACATTTCCTCTGGGGTGCCTTTCCTCATTGCATCAAACCAATAAATCTGATTTTGTCAGACTATAAGCTGTTTCCTCCTGGTCTTTGGCTGATTAAGCTTTAACACCAATCACTGGGAAATTCCCCTTTGTCACTGAAGGCTTTTCTGCGCATAACATTAATGTCATGTTCTAATTGAAGCTGAACACTTCTGCTGCTGCTGCAGCCCTATCAAGTGGTGGCTTTATTTTCTTTCATGCATCTTATGCCACTGGCCAGATGGAGTACGTGACTTCTTTGCTGCTTCCAGATCATTCTTTTTTCTTCTTCCTACAAATGAGACACTTTGAATATTATCTTATGACTATATTTTGTCCCCTACTCTTCATTGTTGCAATCATCTATTGCCACCATCTGCCCCACACCACTTCGTAACTTTCATTCCCTGAAAATTTTAACTCCTAGCTCACTGACACTCTTTATAATAATACTGCCATCACAATTCTTGATATTTTCAATATCTGCATAGGTGATACTTTCAATACCCTGGCCTCTCGGTTTCTTTTTTGCAGAATTTAACTTAATTTAATGTTTTTGATGTGAATGGTGAACGTCCTCAGTTTCTTTACCTTCTCTTCTCCATTGATTTTTGTCCTCAACCAACCCTAAATCATTTACTCCCAAGACTGTGTTTTAGGCTTTGTCAGTATATACAATTTAAATATCTCCATAATCTCAATTTCAAACACCCCTCTCTGAATACCGCCTTCTATTTTTCAGCTCATAGTCCCTAATACCCCAACTCTCACAATCTACCGAGCCTACCAGGTATGATTCTCCCAGCATGTTAGTGCCTATCACTACCTTCATGTCCTCAATTCCTTCATTGTTTTTCAGACTTAAGTTACCTGGTTTATCATTATAATGAGTTCTTACTCGAACTTGAAAAGCAAAACAACAATGTTGTTTAAATCAAACTCTCCCCCAGCCCTGTCTGTATAGCTGAACATGGCTGGAGTAAAACACAAAACAATGCAGTCTGATTTCATTTTATTTTATGTTTTTAACTTGAAAAACAATTTCTAAGGTTTTGATAAAATACATACAACATAAAATTTATTATTTTCACCATTTTAACTGTGCAGTTCCTTAGCACTAACTGCATCCACGCTGTGTGATCATCACCACTATCCATCTCCAAAACTTTCTTATCTTCTTAAACTGAACTTCATACCCATTAAACAATAACTCCTCATTTCTCTCTCCTCTCAACCACTGACAATCACCATTCTATTTTCTGTCTATAAATCTGATTACTCTAGGTGCCTCATATGAGGGGAATCATATAGTGTTTGTCCCTTTTTGACTGGGTATTTCATGTGGCATACTGTCTTCAAGGTTTATCCATGTCATATAGCATGTGTCAGAATTTCATTCTTTTTTAAGGCTGTATGTAAAATACCATATTTTGTTTATCCATTCACAATTTCATTTGGAATTTATGATCACTTTTCTCTGTTGGACCCTCAATACTGCCAGACTGTCTCACTCCATTCCCATGCCTATTTTACTTTCTCCCTCTTATGGTCTATTATTTTATATCTTATTCTGTTTTTTTTTAAACTCATGAAATTTCACTCTCAGTGATTGATCTTGCATTCTATGTAACTGAGAAATTAGACGCGGTCAAGGGAGAACTTCTAGAAGATTCCACTGCTCTATGTACCTACCAACAAATACTAGCAGCTGCATTCTACCTTTCTTTGCACCAGCTCTAGTTTCTTTTTCTTATTACTCAAGGTCATTGCTCTAACAAGTGTCCTCTCTTTCTCCTACATCATCATGTTTCTTCATCTACTAGGTCTTTCCCATCAGAACACAATATACTGGAACTTCTCTCATCTTAGAAACAGTAATAACAACAATGACAAAACTCTTCCTGACTTACTTTCCTTTCTACTACCATCACTTTCTTTCCTTCCCTTTGCAGTGAAACTTGTTGAAAACATTCTCTGTACTTGCTGCCTCAGTTTCTCTTGATTCTAATCTGTCTTTTGCTTCTACCACTTCAATGAAACATCCCTTGTCAAGGTCACCAATGACTTCCAAATAGTTAAATCCAATGCACACTCTCAAACTTCATGTTACTTGACCCTTTGAAAGCATTTTGTGACAGTGATCTCTCTCTTCTCTGTGATACTTTTTTTTTGGCTTGGCTTTCTATATAACTTACTCTGTTTTTTTAATTTCCTATCCCATTGAACTGTTTTTGTTAGTCCTCTTTTCTGCTTTTTAAAAATTTCTCTGATTCCTAAATGATGGAGGCCCCTCTATCATATCTGAGTAATAGGGAGCCCTCTATCATATCTAAATGATAAGGGTCTCAGTCCTTGTATCTCTTTAATTTCTATATTTACTCAACTCCTAAGGAGTCTTAAAGATCTTAGTGAGTCTTATGATTACATGCTGATAATAATCTAATAACTACCAAATTAACATTTTCAGGATGGTCTTTGCCTGAATTCCAAATTTATATATTCAATTGGCTACTTAAAATCTCTACTTACATGTCTAATAGTTATCTCAAACTTATGTTCCAAATGGAGCTCCTGATGTTCTTTCTCTAAACCGACTACTTTCATAATCTTTCTCATCTCAGATGCGATTGCATTCTTCTAGTTGCTGAGGTAAAAAATCTTGGAGTCATCTTTGATATTTCCCTTTCTCTTACAATCTATATCTAATCTGTCAAGAAATCTTACTAGCTGTGCTTCAAACTATACTAGCTGTGCTTCAAACTATAACGATAATCTGACCACTTTACATAGCTTCTTCCTTTACCTCCTGTATGACTTAATGTCACTTACTCAGTAGACATCAAGATAGGACACTCTGGAACCCTCACCTCCAACCATGATAGTCTCTATCCCCTTTTCCTGTTCTGCTAGTTTTCTTTAGCCCTCATTGCTATTTATCGTACTGCATATTTTATGTACTTTTTATATTATCTGAATCCTTCCCAAGAATATAAATTTCATGTGAGCAAGAATTTTTGCTTTGTTTACTATTGTATCCCCAGTGCTTAAACCAGTGCATGACATGTACTGGGAATTTAATAAATATTTGCTGAATGAATGAATAAAAGAAATTAGTACTGAGAATTTTAAAAGGTGAGATATTTAGAGCTATGTGCACAACACGAGCAAAGAAGCCCTTGGTTTCTATCTCCATGGTTCTCCTGTGAATGAAGTTTTGGTTTTATGAAGTAGCAGCCTAATAACAGCAAAAACAACTGAGTACCAATTATGTGCAGAAACTATCCCACATGCTTTATTCATTTCTTATTTATGCCATACAACCATGAGAAATAGCGGTTATTATCTCTGTTTTACAGATAAGGCTAAACAACTTGTTCAAAATCACCTTGCTAGCAGGTGATTGTGCTGGATTTAAAAATCAGTTCCATTTGACCCCAAAGTTCAACATGTTTTAAAAACTATAATTACATGGGTTACTTTCTGGCTCTTCATTGGTGTTTTGGGTAATGAGGGTATTAATGTAAGCAATAAACTAGGCAGAAAAACAGAATGATATGCCATTAAGCCTATTGAGTTCAGCATTTTCTTTATGTGAAAACTTCAGTATAATGCAATTTTAATACCATCTTTATTTGTGGGAAAATCTGAATAGCCAAAATATAGGGCAAGCATTGTTCTCACTTTTAATTGAAAATTAAAGGTTACCCTTTATCAAAAGTTGCGTGCATGTAGCATTAGAAAACAGGTGGACTTGACCTCTTTTAGTGCAATATTTAGTTGTTAACCATGGAATTTTATTTAGTTCGAACATTTCTTTTACATTTAGGAGGCAATAAAAAAGCCCCCCTGCAGCTAATTTAATAACAGAGAATTCTCATGGATGTAATGCAAATATCTGCTGTGAGGCAAACTCGCTTCATATTGTTTATTTAATTCTGCATTCATTTCACTGAATTGCAGTGTAATGGGATGCAGGGACTCTAACAATGGAAGAGAAAATTTGATAGGTGCATGTGAGAGAAAATTAATGGGCCATTTGTCATATATTCTGAACAGACACTGTGATTTTTGTTTTGAGCTTTGTAACGTATTCACTTTGGGATCATAATAAGCAACATAGATCTCACTTAATTTACCAGATGCAATTTGGAACAATTTTTTTCTTTTAACACATTTTTAGTTATGTAATAAAATATGTTGATAGATTAATATACTTTCTAACTTAAAACTTCAGTTTCTAGGTTAAAGAAAATGTTCACACTAAGTCACACATAGTTGACTGATTCAATTAACTAAGGATAATCCTTATTCTGTTTATTTTATGAACAATTGACATAATGAAATCCTTTTTTTTTTTTTAAGAGTTGGGGTCTCACTATGTTCCCCAGGCTAGATTTTGACTTCTGGGCTCAATATCTCGACTTCCTGAGAAGCCGGGACTACAGGTGCTCCCCACTGTACCTGGCTTATATTGAAACTTTGGTGAGGTGAGATATGGGAAACCACTTTATAAATTAGAATTCTTATGTAAATGTAAAATGATAGTGGTTTTGCTACCATTGTTATGATTTAAAGGGATTATTAAATACTTTATCAACTTTGTATTTTCTTCAAAAAATTGATGGTTTTGGATTATAACATTCACCTTTTTGGGTTGTTTTTTAGTTAATGCAGAATTTCCTGAAGTATAAGTTAAGCCACTGGTGAACTTATACGATAGTACTGGTAACTGAGCAACATCTTAACCCTTATTCATATTGTATTTTTCACCATTTTATTTTGTTACTAAAATAACATTGATATTTACAATTTATTATTTTTGTGGTTATAAACAAGTCAATAGTACACATTTCAGTGCATATATCTTTGCATATTTGTATAATTTCAGGCCAAATTTTCTCATTGAAATGGTATCTAACTTACAAAGCTTTTGCCCAGAACCTTTCTGAGTTAAAATGGAATCCACTTTCTGTGGCTTCTCCCAAATTCTTCATTGGAATAATTTTAAATCTATAAGAGGTTCATCTGAATGTCACATGCCACAATACATGGAAGTGCTAAAACTTATGTGCCTAAAAAGAAAAAGAGAAAAATACATTTTTCTGTTAGTAATTTCTAATTTAATTGTATTGTGGTCAGAACTGTATGAACTGTGTCTTTGGTTTTATGGCCCAAAATATGGTCTATCTTAGTTAATGTTCTGTTTGACTTAATAAAAATATTTATTCTGCTATTGTTGGGTGGAGTGTTCTGTAAATATCAGTTAGGTCAAGTTGGCTGATGCTGTTCAAGTTTTATATCTATATTGTTTTTTAGGGCTTGTATAACAAAGCACCACAAACAGTATCTTAAACTGATACTAGGGTTTTGGCAGGGCCATTTCCTTTGAAGATACTAGGGAAGGATCTGTTTCAGGCTTCTCTCCTAGCTTTTGGTAATTCCTTCTCTTTTGGTGTCATAACTCCAAATTTCACATGGTGTTATCCTTGTGTGCATGTCTCTGTGTCCAAATTTCCTCTTTTTAAAACCCAATCCGGGCTTACTGGTTTAGGAGTCTATTCTACTCCAGTATGACCTCGACATAACTAATAACATCTGTAATGACCTTATTTCCAAATAAGGTCACATTCTGAAATATTGAGGGTTAGGACTTCACCATATAAATTTTTGGGAACATAATTCAATCCATAACAACATTCTTATTTTCTGTGTACTTTAACACATATTTTTGAGAGACAAAGATTGAAATCTCCACCTTTAGTTATGGATTTGTCTATTTCTGTTATCTACTGGCAGTTCTATCATATTTTGCCTCATGTACTTTGAAGCTCTGTTCTTAGGTGCATAAACTCTTAGAATTGTTTTGTCTTCTTATGAGTTAACTTCTTTATCGTTATAAAATAATTATTTATCTTTGTAATATGTTTCATTCTGAAATTGACTGTTAAATATTAATATAGACACTCAAGGTTTCTTTTGGTTTATGTTGGTGTCTGTCTGTCTATCTATCATCTGTCTACCTATCTATTAATCATCTATTTTTGTATCTAGATTTAAAAGGCATGGATTCCTGGAAATGTGTTGTCACATAGCTCTGTAAAAATTTGGTACACAATGTTTCAGTGTACACACTCCCCTCTGTGTGAAGGAACCTACCAACTTCGCTTAGGAGCCTCATCTGTTATTCTGAGCCAGACAGTACATGTGATGCATAAAGAAAAGACCTGGGAAGTCACGTGAGATATCCTAGACATCTTCCTCCTTCTACTTCTTGATTGTGTGCACCCGTGAGATTACTAGTAAAGTCTGGTAGTGAGTAATGTCTCTGATTTGTGGGAGTCTGATCCTTTTGATAACTAATCCTTTGTATTTGCTCATATACTTAAATACCAACCAAAAGGATAATTTAAAATTTTTTATAAAGTTTTTATTTCAAGGTCCCATTTTGCTTGGTAGTAGCTGAGGTAAAAGGCTCAGAGAATGGTAGAGGAACATAAACTTGCCAATTAAGGATTTATTACCCTCTTCAGATTTAAAACATATCCATAACTAACCTAAACTGGTAATAGTTATTCCCTTCAAAGTTCTAATCCTTATTGAGTCTGTTATTCTGTTCCCCCTTCTATATTCTAACATGGCTTCTGGAGGTAGGAGGAAGTTTAACTTGTCCTCATTGAGATGAGGAAAAGGTGATTTTTCCGCATGAGGGTTCCCTGCTGTCATCTGGGTTCTCTCTTGTCTTGCCCAGTCAGTGTGCATTCGTTGACATGTGTTACTGTGTTTTGGGCTGGTGACACTCATCTTGTGGTCACTCTACAAGGTCAGTGACCAGGGGGTGGCTGTTTTCATCTGCTGACCTCACTTCATCTTGGAACCTGCTATTCCTGCAGGTTCTCTGAGACCCAGCCATGAATCACCTCATCCCTTTCCATAATGGCCCTATATCAGGCCCACCGGCTTCAACTCAGCTATATTTCTGGTCCAGAGCATGTGTGAGTGCTTGAAGATTTTTCATTATCCATGGAACCAAGCGAGTCTCTGTGGGTGGGATGCTTTCTTCAACCCTCTTTCTGCCCAGATGTTACCCACCTAATTTCTATTTTGGCACAGTTGTTCCAAATTGTGGCAGATGCTTTTCTCTTAGAATCTCTAATGGTAACCAGTGGGACAAAGCCTGTCTAATTTCAGCTAAACTTTCTCATGCTTTGATGTCATTGCCTCTTAATAAGTGATCTCTAAGGCAGTAATAAGAAGCCTGGCATCCCACCTTTTTCTCCAGTCTTGGCACGTCCTACCCCTACCCCTTTCAGCTTGTCTTGAACGTCTCCTTTTTTGCTCATTTGAAGGAAATTATTTATGACATAAACTTTTTCTTTTTTATTTCATGATCTTCTTGTGAACCCACCATCAGCTTCCTAGTGCAATAGACCTCAAGGCTAATGCCTAATAATTGAGTCCTGCAGGGGACATGGTTTATAGGGTCATGAACCATAGATTGGTTTAATATTTACAAAACTATTGTCTCCATTATGCAAACCAACAACAAATTGAACCTACAGAAAATCAGATAGTATTCATATTTTGCTGATAACACTTCTAGGGATATTGGAACTGAGTGAAGTTGCAGAAATGAGTTGTCTTTTGAAAAATTGCCTAGAAGGAGGGGCCAGAGGATGGTGAAAAGGACAAGGCAATTAAATGAGATAACAGGGTTCTGCTGATTCCCTGTATTCACAAAATACATATCATAGCTTATTTCATTCATCTTTTCAAGAAGATCATAGGTTAGATTTTAAAAAAAATCTACTTTATATATGAAGGACCAGAGAAGAAAGTTACAATAAATGTGACAGGGACAGAATGTGGTCCACAAATGCCCATTTTGTGAATCTCAAACCTGTGTTTATTCTACCAAATCATTTTATATGTGCTAGAAAAGACCCCAGGCTTAGTCTACAAAGACTACAGACAGTCTCTTATATACCTCACTAACATCAGGGCAAAGGAGTAGATAGGCTGTTATGCTTTCTGTGAATTTTTTCCCATTTAAGTTATGCCTCTTCACATCTTTTTTTTCTGATTAAAATTCTGTCAATAGACACATAGGTAGGGAGACTATTCCTGAGTGGTGCATGCCTCTAGAAAAACAAACCTATAAGTGAGATAAAGTTTAGATTTCATAAAGGAGATATCTATAAAGGTACATTGGTGTTTTGGGAGAAACAAAGTGAAAATATTTTTAGCCTAGAGTTTCTTGGATGCTTGAAAATATGGTGCTACACAAACTTAGACTGGGCTCAACAATTCCAGAGACTGTGATCTAAATCAAAAGGCATTTTGATAGCTTATGGATTTTTTTCTTCCCTGAAACTGTTTCAAGCCATAGATTTGAAAAGAAATTTCACACAGGTATGATTATCACAGCATCAATAAACTGTTATCTCTATAGAATGGCAATAGGCAAGTCATGTTTTGTGAGACCAGGTTCTTCAACATTAAGAGATATCAGAGGCCAGTGTGAGAAAGCCGACTTCAAAATATGGGATATGATAGATGATAAGTGGTTCATGAGGAAGTCTCACCAACATTAACTTTACCAAGTTTGCTTAAATGTAAATAAGATGGCTTTATATTGAATGGCTTGAAATAGGAGTTTTTGTCTTTCCTCCATTTTTAATTTAACAGGAAAATATAGCTGTGTCAACGAAAATGTCACCACTTGAAGCAATAGCTTCCACATTTTCCCAATTGCACCTCTTATCAGTAAAATATTTTAAAAAACGCATCTCTGGCCAGCCGTGGTGGCTCACTCCTGTAATCTCAGCACTTTGGGAGGCCAAAGAGGGTGGATCACTTGAAGTCAGGAATTTGAGACCAGCCTGGCCAACGTGGCGAAACCCTCTCTCTCAAAAATTAGCTGGGCGTGGTGGTGCATGCCTGTAGTCCCAGATACTCGAGAGGCTGAGGCACGAGGATCGCTTGAACCTGGGAGGCGGAAGTTGCAGTGAGAAGAGATTGTGTCACTGCACTCCAGCCTGGGTGACAGAGTGAGACTTTGCCTTAAGAAACAAACAAAAACATGCATCTCCAAATTATATTACTTTTATTTATTTTAAAGTTATATAGTGAGTGATTGTATGTTATAGAAAGCACACACAAATAGAAATTTAAAGTAAGTAAAATAAATGAAAATAAAATGAATAATATTTAAAAATTAAGGATTTAAATGTCTAATAAATATTTTGCTTTCACTGAAAATACTAGTATCACTATTAATAGGTGTAGAGTACATTTCATTTGAAAAATTTGGATTAAGGCTTTGTGATTCAGTTATTTGAAGGTCTGATTCTAAGGTGGGTTTATTTCAGTACCTATTACAATAATAGGTGTCATAATTGATAAAGACAACTCACAAAACACCAAAATAAAAATAGATTGGCTGTGTTTATTAATCATAGAATTCATGAAAAACTCATCTATCAATTTTGTGAGTTTTAAAATTAAAAAGTACTAAATTTTCACATTTCTTGATATTAACACATGTTTTTGGCATACCAATTAAGAATTGTTGTTCAAAAAAATTGTCATCTCATATTAAAACAAAATAGTTATAAAATATTCTTAGCCTTTTTATTTGCAGAATTTCAAACCATGTTTAAAAATTGGTTCTAAATTTTTGGGGAGTGAATATGTGAGAATTTCACGTTGTATACATATTCATTATTTTTAGCAAGAAAATAATCTAAGAATGTAAACATTCCCAGGCATTCATTTTTTTTTTTTTTTTTTTTTAGCAAGAAAATCACCTGGCTGGGTGCAGTGACTCACGTAATCCTAGAACTTTGGTAGGCCAAGGCAGGATGATCACCTGAGGTCAGGAGTTCGAGATCAGCCTGGGCCACATGGTGAAACCCCATCTCTACTAAAAATATAAAAATTAGCCAGGCGTGGTGGCACATGCCTGTAATCCTAGCTACTCAGGAGGCTGAGGCTGGAGAATCGCTTGAACCCAGGAGGCGGGGGATGCAGTGAGCCGAGATCATACCATTGCACTCCAGCCTAGGCTATAGAGTAAGACGCTGTCTCAAAAAAAAAAAAAAAAAAAAAAAAGAGAGAGAAAAGAAAATCATCTAAGAATGTAAGCATTCACAAGCATTCATTTTCAAAATGCTCTATTTTATTTTGAAAAAGAATTGGTCTCTTACTTGTTAAAGCGTCAGCTTGACCGTGAAGAGATTTATTAAATATGTTTACTTTGTCAAAAAATTTGCTTGAGAGAGATTACTTTATCCATTAAAGATGAGAGATTTTGGAACTTTGTTTTTTGAGAAAAGAATGAGGCTTTACACTTATATAAGTTGATAAATCTTAAGTACTTGGCTTGAGCTAACTAGTGAACCTGTTGTGGTAGAAAGAATTTTCTGGTTACTTCTCATGTCATTACAGAATACTATAAATATCCTACTATTTAATATTCTTGTTTTTATAAACATAATAACATGATGATATTCCAAAGCAAGTGACTATAATAGATCACAAAGCCTGTTAGTCAATGAATTTGGGAGGACAAAAATCATCAAACTCTCTCTCTGATATAAAATTTATTCCCCCAGGTTACTTCACAGCAGGGTGTGTGGATCAACCCATATATTAAATATGACTCAAGTTATTTTCTATTTTTATTTTTAGACAAGAAAAACATAATTAAGAAATTAAAATCCCAGTGGATTATTATAAATACCTGAAAGTATCCACTCCTTTGGAGATCATAGTACTAAAGTGGCGGTTTTCAAACTTTAGTGTATATTTAGTGTATATAAGAATAATCTAGAAAGAATATTAAAATGCAGATTTCTAGGCCCCATCCAAAGCGATTTTGATTTAACAGGTCTAAAGTATAACTTGGAAATCTATAATTTTATCAATCATCTTAGATATTTCAAATGTAGCTTCTTAGTAGAAAACACTTTGAGAAACCCAAACTAGAGGGACTGTAATAATTTTTTAATATTCCTTATGGCAGCTTCCTTGGTTTAATATTGTCAGCACATTGAAGTTCAGTTTGAGACTCTGCCTAAATATTCAAGAAATAAAATGCAGCAAACAAGTAATGGCTCATTAGTGTATTTAATTAGAAAGCTATAATTAGTAGTTAAAATTGCCAACATAAATATTACCACCATGTAACCATCTAATTTGTGCATATTAGTTAATGGTTTATATCCCAGATGTCAGATAAGGACCCCATCCTGTAACCTCTTAAGATAAAATTTCCTCAAGCTTCCCCTTTGTAGGCATGCATTTCAGATAGGCCGCCCCACCACAGAGCAGGCTTCATGAGGTTGGGTGGAGACATCGTGAGGTGATTGCGAGAGGGGAGAGTGGCAGCACACTCAGGTTCACAGAGGAGAAGCTGAGGAGCTGACTGCTCTGAGCTGTTCTGTTTCCTAGGGCTGTGCTCTGCGTCTGTGTGTATTGTGACCTTGTGGCTCCACCTCTTCTGGATGCTGCTACAGCAGAGGCCTGGATCCAGGCCCTTCCCTGTGACTTAATATGCTCCATCACCATCAGGTGGCCCTCTGAACCCTGGTAACCTCCTCTCCCAAGAACAGACAGCCTGTCCCCAGATATCCCAGTAGTGATGAGTAACTTCTTTAGTTTCCATTGCTGAGTCAGGGCTTTCTTGTCTCCTCCTGGGCAGGTCCAGCCTTGGTCTCTTGGCAGGGCACCAGCTTTGCTGATTGCTCTCCAGCTCACCATGTGACTGATGCCAAAGTTGTGGTGTACTGTGCCCAGCAGAGCCCTGGGAGCCACTGCTACCTTCAGAGAGGTTCCTTGCTGAGAAACAAAGTGCTTCACCTCCCCCACCATGGCTGCTTCTGGCTAAACCCAGTCTTTTGCCATGCTAGAGCTGGAGCTGTTGCCCTTCTCCTGAGGAGAAACTGGGGTGAGGAGGGAGAAGTCCTGTTCCTAAGTGTTGCCATTGTGGCTTTTCTTGCCTTCTCCAAAAAAGTGCTGCCAGATCCCAAGAAAACTTTTTCCAGAACATTAGTCTGGGTAGATTTCTTGAGTAATACCCCAAAAACACAGGCAACCAAAGCAAAATGGGATCACAAGTTAAAAACTTCTGCCCAGCAAAGGGAAGAATCAATATAGTGAAGAGACAACCCACAGATGGGAGAAAATATATGCAAACTAACCATCTGAAAAGGGGTTAATAAACAGACTATATAAGGAGGTCAAACAACTCAATAAGAAGAAAAATTGATTGAAAGATGGGCAAAAGGTGTGAATGACAGTTCTCAAAAGAAGACATACAAATGGCTAACAAGTATATGAAAAGATGCTCAGTATCATTGATAATCAGATAAACAGAAATCAAAACTACAATGAAGTACCATCTCACCCAGTGATATGGTTTGGCTCTGTGTCCCCACCCAGATCTGATCTTGAATTGTAATCCCATAATTTCCAAGTGCTGTGGGAGGGACCCAGTGGGAGATAACTGAATCATGGGGGCATTTCCCCCCCATACTGTTCTCATGGTAGTGAGTAAGTCTCAAGGTAGTGAGATTTATAAGGGGTTTCCATTTTTGCTTTTCTGTCATTCTCCCTCTTGCCACTGCCATGTAAGAAGTGCTTTTTGACTTTTACCATAATTTTGAGGCCTCCCTAGCCATGTGGAACTGTAAGTCCATTAAATCTCTTTTTCTTCCCAGTCTCTGGTATGTTTTCATGAGCAGTGTTAAAATGGACTAATACACCCAGTTAAAATGGCTTATATCAAAAAGAAAGTCAATAACAAATTGTGGAGAGGATGGTTAGAAAGGGTAAACTTTGCTCATTGTTGGTGAGAATGTAAGCTAGTACAACCACTATAAAGAACAGTATGGAGGTTCCTCAAAAACCTAAAAATAGAACTACCATATGATCCAGCATATTGGTGGAACCTGCCCCCAATATTTCAATGTAGGTTCTTTCTATTTTCCATAAGTGTTGACTGGCTGAGAAATAAAGAGAGACAGTATAAAGAGAGGAATTTTACAGCTGGGCTGCTGGGGGTGACATCACATATTGGTAGGACTGTGATGCCCACCTGAGTCTCAGACCAGCAAGTTTTTATTAAGGATTTCAAAAGGGGAGGGGGTGTAAGAACAAGGAGTAGCTACAAAGATCACATGCTTCAAAGGGCAAAAAGCAGAACTGCTAATATGGGTCTAACAAAGATCACATGCTTCTGAGGGAACAGGACAAAGGTCAACAGCAGAACTACTGATAAGGGTCCAACAAAGATCACAGGGCAAAGGGCAAAAACAGAACCACTGATAAGGGTCTATGTTGAGTGGTGCACATTATTGTCTTGATAAACATCTTAAACAACAGAAAACAGGGTTTGAGAGCAGAGAACCGGTCTGACCACAAATTACCAGGGTGGAGTTTCTCCCCACCCTAGTAAGCCTGAGGGTACTGCAGGAGACCAGGGTGTATCTCAATCCTTATCTCAACTGCATAAGACAGACATTCCCAGAGTGGTCATTTATAGACCTCCCCCCAGGAAGGCATTCCTTTCCCAGGGTATTAATATTAATATTACTTGCTAGGAAAAGAATTTAGTGATATCTCTCCTACTTGCACGTCCATTTATAGGCTCTCTGCAAGAAGAAAAATATGGCTCTTTTTGCCCGACCCCGCAGGCAGTCAGACCTTATGGTTGTCTTCCCTTGTTCCCTAAAAATCATGTTATTCTGTTCTTTTTCAAGGTGCACTGATTTCATATTGTTCAAACACACATGTTTTACAATCATTTTATACAGTTAACACAATTATCACAGTGGTCCTGAGGTGAAGTACATCCTCAGCTTATGAAGATAACAAGATTAAGAGATTAAAGAAAAGACAGGACTAAGAAATTATAAAAGTATTATTTGGGAACTGATAAATGTCCATATTAAAATGAAATCTTCACAATTTATGTTCCTCTGCTGTGGCTCCAGCCCTTCCCTCCATTTGGGGTCCCTGACTTCCCGCAACACCAGCAAACCTATTTCCAGGTATATACCCAAAATAAAGGAAATAAGTATATTAAAGAGATAGTTGCACTCCCATGTTTATTGCAGCACTATTCACAATAGTCAAGATTTGGAATCAACCAAAGTGTCCATCAAGGAATAAATGGATAAAGAAAATGTGGTATGTATACACAGTGGAGTACTATCCAGTCATAAAAAGAATGAGATCCTTTCATTTGCAATGACATGGATGGAACTGGAGGTCGCTATGATAAGTGAAATAAGCCAGGCACTTAAAGACACACTTCACTATTCTCATTCATTTGTGGGAGCAAAAAATGAAAACAATTGAATTCATGGAGATGGAGGAGAACGATGGTTACCAGATGATTGGAAGGGTAGTGGGGTGGGGAAGTGGGGGATGATTAATGAGTACAAAAATATAGTTAGACAGAATGAAGAAAATATAGTATTTGATAAAACAACAGGGCGATTACAGTCAACAATAATTTATTGTAAATTTAAAAATAACTAACAAATGCTTGAGGTGATGTATACACCATTTACCTTGATGTGATTATTGCACATTGTATCCTTGTATCAAAATAGTTCATGTTCCCCATAAGTATATATAACTACTATGTACTCATAAAAAAAAATAAAAATTAGAAAAAGATAATGAAAACATAAGCTGCAGACTGAGAGAAAATATTTGCAGAAAACATATATGTTAAAGGACTCTTACTCAAAATGTACAAAGAACTCAAAGCTTAACAGTAAGAAAAACAAACAATCCATTTACAAAATGAAGATCTTAATAGACACCTCACCAAAAAAGATATACAGATGGCAAATAACATATGAAAAGATGCTCCAGATAATTTGTTGTCAAGGAAATGCAAATTAAAACAACAAGTAGATACCATTATACATTTATTAGAATTGCCAAAATTCAGAACACCACCAACACTAAATGCTGGCAAGGATGTGGAACAACAGGAACTCATATTCATTGGTAATGGGAATGCAACAACCTGGTACAGCAACTTTGGGAGACTGGCAGTTTGGCAATTTCTTATAAAAGTAAACATATTCTTACCATAAGGCCCAGCAATCATGCTCCTTGATATTTACCCAAAGGAGCTGAAAAGTTATGTCTACAGAAAAACTTGCACATGGATGTTTATAGTAGCTTTATTCATAATTGAGAAAAGTAGGAAGCAACCAAGATGTCCTTATTTAGTGCAAGAAGACAGAAGCTACCAAGCCATGGAAAGACATGGAGGAAACTTAAATCATATTACTAAGGAAAATAAGCCAGTCTGAAAAGGCTATATATTGTATGAGTCCAACTATATGACATTCTGGAAAAGGCAAAACTATGGAAACAGTAAAAGGATCAGTAGTTGCCAGGGGTTGAAGGGAGGGAGGAATGTATAGGTAAAGCATAGAGGATTTTCAGGGCAGTGAAACTATTATGTATGACACTATAATGGTGGATACATGTCTTTACAAGCTTGTACAATCCCTCAGGATGGACAACACCAAGTGAACCTCAATGTAAACTATGGTTTTTGGGTAATAATGATGTCTCAAGGTAGATTCATCACTTGTAGCCAATGGACCACTCTGGTGGGGAGTGTTGATTTTGGGGGAGTCTATGCATGTGTGGAGACAAGGGGCATATGGGAAATCTCTTTACCTTCTGCTCAATTTTGCTGTGAACTTAAAACTTCTCTAAAAATAGAGTCTGTTAAAAACATGTGTGGTCAAGATTCTCTGATGGAAGTAAATTTGGTTTTACTGATTCTTACTAATCTGTGGAACTGGCACATAGCCCTAATTGTTGTCAGACCTATTTAGAATGTGAAGTATTTGATACCAATCTGTCCTCAACTTTGGGGTCAAGTCATTCATTTTTGAGCAAAATAAAAGTTTTATTCAGTTGTCCGGTTCCAAGATGGCCAAATAGGAACAGCTCCAGTCTACAGTTCCCAGCGTGAGCAACGCAGAAGATGGGTGATTTCTGCATTTCCAACTGAGGTACTAGGTTCATCTTACTGGGGCTTATCGGACAGTGGGTGCAGCCCATGGAGTGTGAGCCAAAGCAGGGCGGGGCATCGCCTCACCTGGGAAGTGCAAGGGGTCGGGGAATTCCCTTTCCTAGCCAAGGGAAGCTGTGACAGATGGTACCTGGAAAATCGGGACACTCCCACCCTAGTACTGTGCTTTTCCAACAGTCTTAGCAAATGGCCCACCAGGAGATTATATCCTGCACCTGGCTCAGAGGGTCCCATGCCCATGGAGCCTCACTCACTGCTAGCTTCACAGAGGAGAAGCTGAGCAGCTGACTGCTGAGATTGAACTGCAAAGTGGCAGTGAGGTCTGAGATTGAACTGCAAGGTGGCAGCGAGACTGGGGGAAGGGTGTCCCCCATTGCTGAGGCTTGAGTAGCTAAACAAAGCAGCCAGGAAGCTCGAACTGGGTGGAGCCCACTGCAGCTCAAGGAGGCCTGCCTGCCTCTGTAGATGCCACCTCTGGGAGCAGGGCATAGCTGAACAAAAGGCAGCAGAAACTTCTGCTGACTTAAATGTCCCTGTCTGACAGCTTTGAAGAGAGTAGTGGTTCTCCCAGCACAGAGTTTGAGATCTGAGAACAGACGGACTGCCTCCTCAAGTGGGTCCCTGACCCCGGAGTAGCCTAACTGGGAGACACCTCCCCGTAGGGGCTGACTGATACCTCATAAAGCTGGGTGCCCCTCTGAGACAAAGCTTCCAGAGGAAGAATCAGGAATCAGGCAGGAACATTTGTCATTCTGCAATATTTGCTCTTCTGCAGCCTCTGCTGGTGATACCCAGGCAAACAGGGTCTGGAGTGGACCTCCAGCAAACTCCAGCAGACCTGCAGCTGACTGTTAGAAAGAAAACTAACAGAAAGGACATCCACACCAAAACCTCATCTGTACATCACCATCATCAAAGACCAAAGGTATATAAAACCACAAAGATGGGGAGAAACCAGAGCAGAAAAGCTGAAAATTCTAAAAATCAGAGCACCTCTTCTCCTCCAAAAGAACGCAGCTCCTCGCCAGCAACGGAACAAAGCTGGATGGAGAATGACTTTGATGAGTTGAGAGAAGAAGGCTTCAGACAATCGGTAATAACAAACTTCTCTGAGCTAAAGGAGGATGTTCGAATCCATTGCAAAGAAGCTAAAAACCTTGAAAAAAGATTAGATGAATGGCTAACTAGAATAAATAGGGTAGAGAAGACCTTAGATGACGTGATGGAGCTGAAAACCATGGCATGAGAACTACGTGATGCATGCACAAGCTTCAGTAGCCAATTTGATCAAGTGGAAGAAAGGGTATCATTGAAGACCAGATGAATGAAACGAAGCGAGAAGAGAAGTTTAGAGAAAAAAGAGTAAGAAGAAACAAACAAAGCCTCCAAGAAATACAGGACTATGTGAAAAGACCAAATCTACGTCTGATTGGTGTACCTGAAAGTGACGGGGAGAATGGAACCTAGTTGGAAAACACTCTTCAGGATATTATCCAGGAGAACTTCCACAACACAGTAAAGGCAGGCCAACATTCAAATTCAGGAAATCAAGAGAATGCCACAAAGACACTCCTCGAGAAGAGCAACTCCAAGACACATAGTTCTCAGATTCACCAAAGTTGAAATGAAGGAAAAAATGTTAAGGGCTGTCAGAGAGAAAGGTCGGGTTACGCACAAAGGGAAGCCCATCAGACTAACAGCAGATCTCTTGGCAGAAACTCTACAAGCCAGAAGAGAGTGGGGGCCAATATTCAACATCCTTAAAGAAAAGAGTTTTTAACCCACAATTTCATATCCAGCCAAACTAAGCTTCATAAGTGAAGGAGAAATAAAATCCTTTACAGACAAGCAAATGCTGAGAGATTTTGTCACCATCAGGCCTGCCTTATAAGAGCTCCTCAAGGAAGCGCTAAACATGGAAAGGAGCAGCCAGTACCAGCCACTGCAAAAACATGCCAAATTGTAAAGGCCATGGATGCTAGGAAGAAACTGCATCAACTAACAAGCAAAATAAACAGCTAACATCATAACGACAGGATCAAATTCACACATAACAATATTAACCTTAAATGTAAATGGGCTAAATGCTCCAATTAAAAGACACAGACTGGCAAATTGGATAAAGAGTCAAGACCTATCAGTGTCCTGTATTCAGGAGACCAATCTCATGTGTAGAGACACACTTAGGCTCAAAATAAAGGAATGGAGGAAGATCAACCAAGCAAATGGAAAACAAAACAAAACAAAACAAAAAGCAGGGGTTGCAATCCTAGTCTCTGATAAAACAGACTTTAAACCAACAAAGATCAAAAGAGACAAAGAAGGCCATTACATAATGGTAAAGGGACCAATTAAACAAGAAGAGCTAACTATCCTAAATATATATGCACCCAATATAGGAGCACCCAGATTCATAAAGCAAACCCTTAGAGACCTACAAATAGACTTAGACTCCCACACAATAATAATGGGAGACTTTAACACCCCACTGTCAACATTAGACAGATCAACGAGACAGAAAGTTAACAAGGATATCCAGGGATTGAATTCAGCTCTGCACCAAGCAGACTTAATAGACAGTTACAGAACTCTCCACCCTAAATCAACAGAATATACATTCTTCTAAGCAGCACATCGCACTTATTCCAAAATTGACCACATAGTTGGAAGTAAAGCACTCCTCAGCAAATGTAAAAGAACAGAAATTATAACAAACTGTCTCTCAGACCACAGTGCAATCAAACTAGAACTCAGGATTAAGAAACTCACTCAAAACTGCTCAACTACATGGAAACTGAACAACCTGCTCCTGAATGACTACTGGGTACATAATGAAATGAGGGCAGAAATAAAGATATTCCTTGAAACCAATGAGAAAAAAGACACAACATACCAGAATCACCGGGACATATTTAAAGCAGTGTATAGAGGGAAATTTATAGCACTAAATGCCCACAAGAGAAAGCAGGAAAGATCTAAAATTGACACCCTAACATCACAATTAAAAGAACTAGAGAAGCAAAAACAAACATATTCAAAAGCTAGCAGAAGGCAAGAAATAACTAAGAGCAGAGCAGAACTGAAGGAGAAAGAGACACAAAAAAACCCTTCAAAAAATCAATGAATCCAGGAGCTGGTTTTTTTTTGAAAAGATCAACAAAATGGATAGACTGCTAGCAAGACTAATAAAGAAGAAAAGAGAAGAATCAAATAGATGCAATAAGAATAATAAAGGGGATATCACCACCAATCCCAGAGAAATACAAACTACCGTCAGATAATACTTTAAACACCTCTACACAAATAAACTAGAAAATCTGGAAGAAATGGATAAATTCCTTGACACATACACCCTCCCAAGACTAAACCAGGAAGACGTTGAATCCCTGAATAGACCAATAACAGGCTCTGAAGTTGAGGCAATAATTAATATCCTACCAACCAAAAAAAGTCCAGGACCAGATGGATTCACAGCCGAATTCTACCAGAGGTACAAAGAAGAGCTGGTATCATTCCTTCTGAAATTATTCCAATCAATAGAAAAAGAGGGAATCCTCCCTAACTCATTTTATGAGGCCAGCATCATCCTGATACCAAAGCCGGGCAGAGACACAACAAAAAAAGAGAATTTTAGACCAATATCGCTGATGAACATCAATGCAAAAATAATAAAATACTGACAAACCAAATCCAGCAGCACATCAAAAAGCTTATCCACCATGATCAAGTGGGTTTCATCCCTGGGATGCAAGGCTGGTTCAACATATGCAAATCAATAATGTAATCTGTCATATAAACAGAACGAAAGACAAAAATGACATTATTATCTCAATAAATGCAGAAAAGGCCTTTGACAAAATTCAACAGCCCTTCATGCTAAAAACTCTCAATAAACTGGGTACTGATGGGACGAACATCAAAATAATAAGAGCTATTTATGACAAACCCACAGCCAATATCATACTGAATGGGCAAAAACTGGAAGCATTCCCTTTGAAAACTGGCACAAGACAGGGATGCCCTCTCTCACCACTCCTATTCAACATAGTGTTGGAAGTTCTGGCCAGGGCAATCAGGCAAGAGAAAGAAATAAAGGGTATTCAATCAGGAAAAGAGGAAGTCAAATTGTCCCTTTTTGCAGATGACATGATTGTATATTTAGAAAACCCCATCATCTCAGCCCAAAATCTCCTTAAGCTGATAAGCAACTTCAGCAAAGTCTCAGGATACAAAATCAATGTGCAAAAATCACAAGCATTCCTATACACCAATAACAGACAAACAGAGAGCAAAATTATGAGTGAAGTTCCATTCACAATTGCTTGAAAGAAAATAAAATACCTAGGAATCCAACTTACAAGGGATGTGAAGGACCTCTTCAAGGAGAACTACAAACCACTGCTCAATGAAATAAAAGAGGACACAAACAAATGGAAGAACATTCCATGCTCATGGATAGGAAGAATCAATATCATGAAAATGGCCATATTGCCCAAGGTAATTTATAGATTCAATGCCATCCCCATCAAGCTACCAATGACTTTCTTCACAGAATTGGAAATAACTACTTTAAAGTTCATATGGAACCAAAAAAGAGCCCACATGGCCAAGACAATCCTAAGCCAAAAGAACAAAGCTGGAGGCATCACACTACCTGACATCAAAGTATGCTACAAGGCTACAGTAACCAGAGCAGCATGGTACTGGTACCAAAGCAGAGATATAGACCAATGGAACAGAACAGAGCCCTCAGAAATAATACCACACATCTACAACCATCTGATCTTTGACAAACCTGACAAAAACAAGAAATGGGGAAAGGATTCCCTATTTAATAAATGGTGCTGGGAAAACTGGCTAGCCGTATGTAGAAAGCTGAAACTGGATCCCTTCCTTAAACCTTATATAAAAATTAATTCAAGATGGATTAAAGACTTAAATGTTAGACCTAAAACCATAAAAACCCTGGAAGAAAGCCTAGACAATACCGTTCAGGCCATAGGCATGGACACGGACTTCATGTCTAAAACACCAAAAGCAATGGTAACAAAAGCCAAAATTGACAAATGGGTTCTAATTAAACTATAGATCTTTTGCACAGCAAAAGAAACTACCATCAGAGTGAACAGGCAACATACAGAATGGGAGAAAGTTTTTGCAATCTACCCATCTGACAAAGGGCTAATATCCAGAATCTACAAAGAACTTAAGCAAATTTGTAAGAAAAAATCAAACAACCCCGTCAAAAGTGGGCAAAGGATATGAACAGACACTTCTGAAAAGAAGGTATTTATGCAGCCAACAGACACATGAAAAAATGCTCATCATCACTGGCCATCAGAGAAATGCAAATCAAAACCACAATGAGATACCATCTTACACCAGTTAGAATGGCTATCATTAAAAAGTCAGGAAACAACAGGTGCTGGAGAGGATGTGGAGAAACAGGAACATTTTACTCTGTTGGTGGGACTGTAAACTAGTTCAGCCATTGTGGAAGACAGTGTGGCGATTCCTCAGGGATCTAGAACTAGAAATACCATTTGACCCAGCCATCCCATTACTGGGTATATACCCAAGGGACTATAAATCATGCTACTATAAAGACACATGCACATGTATGTTTATTGCAGCACTCTTCACAATAGCAAAGACTTGGAACCAACCCAAATGTCCATCAATGATAGACTGGATTAAGAAAATGTGGCACATATACACTATGGAATACTATGCAGCCATAAAAAAAGATGAGTTCATGTCCTTTGTTAGGGACATGGATGAAGCTGGAAACCATCATTCTCAGCAAACTATCACAAGGACAGAAAACAAAACACCGTGTGTTCTCACTCATAGGTGGGAATTGAACAATCAGAACACTTGGACACAGGGTGGGGAACATCACACACCAGGGCCTGTTGTGGGGCGGGGAGGGGGGAGGGATAGCATTAGGAGATATACCTAATGTAAATGATAAGTTAATGGGTGCAGCACACCAACATGGCACATGTATACATATGTAACGAACCTGCACATTGTGCACATGTACCCTAGAATTTACAGTAAAAAAAAAAGTTTTATTCAAAACTTTATTACATGAGGATTGTAGAAATCAATTTTAAAGCCATTTGCCCCCCTTAATTTTTTTTGGTTTGAGATGCAAAATATAATTCATAAATCCATTAACTATGAACAGATAAACTGAAATTCATTTAGCTACGTTGGAAGCTAGGGTCTACTACAACCCCTCTTAGTTGTCGGGTCCCCACTCTTCTCTCCAGGTACTTGGAGTATACACTGTGACCATATATCTTATGGGCCAAGTGAGAGCACCAGTGCTCTCATTTTGTTTCTCATTTTAAAAATAAAATAAATTAGAAGTCTGGTATTTTCATCTTTTGCCCCTATGAATCATCTTTCTTATCCTTTAATGAGCACAAATACAGAGAAAAGAGGAAGCAAATGTGGCTGAGAGATTAAGTAAACTAAGATTGGAGAATTACTCATAGAATTTAGCGGTGGAGGTATTGATGACCCTTTGAGCTATTCAGTGGAGTAGAGGCAAAAAATACACTGAATGGAGAGCATAGAGGAGAGTATGGGAGGAAGAAAGATATAAGTAGTATAATCAATTGTAAGAGGGAGATTTTCTGTGAATAGAAAGTAAATAAATGTTGCAATAGCTACATGGGGTGTGAAGATATTTTGTTTTAAAAGATGTGTGAGATAAATGTATGCATGCATGTATATGTCTTTTACCTATGTGACCTGTCTGAAAAGCAGTTTTAGCTTTCAATTGATTCTCTGTTGCTTGTGTCATAATGTTACTGAGAGGATCATAGTAGACTGGAACAACCTTTTTTTTTTTTTTTTGGTACAGGGTCTTATTCAGTTGTTCAGGCTGGAGTGTGAGTGCTATGGTGCTATGTCAGCTCACTGAAACCTCTGCCTCCCGGGCTCAAGTGATACTTCCACCTCAGCCTCCTGAGTAGCTGGAACAATAGGAATAAACCACCATGCCAGGCTAACGTTTGGTAATTTTTGTAGAGATAGGTTTTCACTATGTTGTCAAGGCTGGTCTGGAACTCCTGAGCTCAAGCAATCTGCCTGCCTCAGCCTCCCAAAGTGCTGGGTTTACAGGTGTGAGCCACTGTGCCTGGCAGGAATATCCTTCTAATAGATAAATTTCAATTTTAAATGATGGGCTTTCTTGTGTGTTCTCATATTTCTTCATATACTTATAATTTTCAGATAAATTATGTTTTGATATAGCCTTCAGGGCAATATTCTCAGAGGCAAGAGCAACTTGGAAAACAAGTATCTTCCTCCACACCAATAGCACAGTTGATATTACCATGACTGTGGCATGATCTGGCATGATCTCAGAAACACCAATACTGTTGCTTAACCACTGCTAGAAGTAATAGTTTATTATAAAAACCCTGGAATATAACCTAAGCAATACCATTCAGGACATAGGCACAGGCAAAGATTTTATGAGAAAGACGCCAAAAGCAATTGTAACAAAAGCAAAAATTGACAAATGGAATCTAATTAAACTAAAGAGCTTCTGCACAGCAAAAGAAACTATCAGCAGAGTAAACAGACAACCTACAGAATGGGAGAAAAGATTTGCAAACTATGCATCTGACAAAAGTTTAATACCCAGCATCTATAAGGAACTTAAACAAATTGACAAGAAAAAAAGCAAACAATCCAATTGAAAAGTGGGCAAAGAATATGAACAGGCACTTTTCAAAAGAAGACATATATGTGGCCAACAAACATATGAAAAAAAAGCCCAATGTTGCTAATCATTAGAGAAATGCAAATCAAAACCACAATGAGTTACCATCTCACACCAGTCAGAATGGCTACTACTAAAAAGTCAGCAAATAACAGATGCTGGTGAGGTTGTGGAGAAGAAGGAATGCTTATACACTGTTTGTGGGAGTATAAATTCATTTAGCTATTGTGGAAGACAGTGTGGCTATTCCTCAAAGACTTAAAGACAAATACTATTTGACTAATCCCATTACTCAGTATACACCCAAAGGAATATAAATTATTACATTATAAAAACATGCATGTGTATGTTCATTGCAGCACTATTCATGATAGCAAAGACATGGAATCGACCTAAATGCCCATTAATGATAGACTGGATAAGGAAAATGTTGTGTATATACACTATGAAATACTATGCAGTCATAAAAAAGAATGAGACCATGTTCTTTGCAGGGACATGGATGGAGCTGGAGGCCATTATCCTTAGCAAACTAACACTGGAACAGAAAACCTAATACCACATATTCTCACTTATAAGTGGGAACTAAACAATGAGAGTACCTGGACACATAGAGAACAACATACACTGGTGCCTATTGGAGAGTGGAGGGTGGAAGGAGGGAGAGGATCAGGAAAAATAACTAGTGGTTACTCAGTTTAATACCTGGATGATGAAATAACTTGTATAATAATCCCTCATGACACAAGTTTACCTATGTAGCAAACCTGAACTTGTGACACTCCCACCCCAAACTTAAAAGTTAAAAAAGAAGAAATAATAGTTTATGTTGGCAGATTCTCTTCAATGGTAAAGTAGCAACATGAAATAGCCCTGTTCATGATTCGCTGGTCTGGGAGCATTTTTCAGCTAATGTCAGTGAAACTGATAGGAGAAGCTGCTATGCAGAAGCAGAAAGAAGTCATCCTGATTCTTTCCTGTGGAGACAGATGACTTTAACAACTGCTGTAATTGTTCTAGATTAAAATCATTGCTTCTGTGTTCTAGCTACAGAATTCAGGTCTGTACTTTGTTTATTCACTTTGATTTGTCCAAAACTGTGCATAGACACTCTGGAAGACTCCACGTAGCCATTTAGAGTCACTAAGAGGGCTCACATGATGTATATTTTATCCAAGAGAAAATTGACAGATTATACCAATATGGCAGCAACTTGCATCTAATGCTAAAATAGAAATTAAACCTGCAATTTTAGTCATTGTAAGGTCTATAAATTACTTCACAGATATTTCAAAAAGCTTTATAGTAATGTGAAAAATACACCAATTATTATACTGTAGAGACACTTATTGGATAGAAGATCTCCATTTATTGCTTTGTCCGTAAGAAAAATGATAAAAAATCAACATGATAATAGAACAAATGTATAACTTGGGAAATAGCTTCTGAAACCCATGAATTATACTTTGCTTAACTTGTTTTTCTTTTTTACCTATTGCTTGATATTACCAGTTAGTGAATATCACCAAAAGAAGGCAAAGAGAGGAGAAAAAAATAGAAAAGCAGTTGAATAAATAGCAAATGGAAAAATGTATTTGCATTTAGATATACTTACTTCCATATAAAGGATATACTAAGCATGCCTTTATGTGTTCATGTCAAAATTATTAAAATTTTCAAAATTCTAAGATCGTTCATTGTGATTTTATAATACCTATCTAAATATAATAAAAGATATCACGGCAAATGTATCTCTGTACAATTAACTATTTTACAAGCCCCATCTGCTGGCCTAGTCATTTTAAACAGCATTCAAAGCAACCAAAATCCAAGGACAAACTAAGAATGACAGATACTTCCTTGAAGTTTATTTTCATATGATATAACCAGTAGCTAAGACTAAATCTCACCTCATTGACTTGTTATTGCCTCTTCAAAACCGTTGCCTTAACAGAACATCAAACACAGTAGTGACTGAGAATAAGGGCATAGTAAACTGCTCCCAGAATCTGAAGTATAAGTCTATTAAGAGTAATGCGTAATAGATGAGATTCGCCAAGAAAGGTTTTCTAAATATGTCACTGAGAGACTTGGGTTTACTGTGGTGTAGAATAAAGCAGGCATGGATGAAGTACGAATATAATTTTAAAAAGCTGAAGTCTCAATCAGCCGTACTCTATGCCAGCTAAAGATGAATGTTATTAACAGATAGGGAGTAGTTTTGCCAAAAATCTAGACAAGAGGAGTTCAACCTTTTTGTTTATCTCCACCCTGAAAGGGAAGAGTCCTAACAGCCACATCGGCTTTCTGGCTCTGCACATGCACCTCTGTGTCAGCAATGGATGCTTTAGCTAACCCAGCTCAGTGGCCTATCAAGCAGTGTATCCTCTTAGTTTGATTCTACAATTGTTAAGCAAAAGTCTGTGGATTTAGTTACATAATTTTTGTTAGGGAGACAAGTAACCGATCCTCCTTTCCCCAACATTAAATAAATTAATTGAATAATTCAACAAATAGTTATTGTCTATTTGATATCTAGGTCTAGATCTGTATTACTCAATGACATAAGCATAGCCTGCCTTCTTGGAGCTTATAAAATATTCTTGCCAATTAGTGTTTATCATTATTAAAAAAACTTTGACATGCTTGACTTATTTAGACTCTTAATTTACTTAGTGTAAATCAGTCACCCTAACTTGGATTACTCTGTGAACATTGCTAAAAAAATAAGTTTTTAGAGATGCAGTTGAGAAGAGGATTCTTGACGGTAATGTCCTCCAAATAGTTGCAAGGAACACAGGTATTATCTGCACAGCCAGCTTGTCACATTCAATGACATCTCTCCCCTGTTTCTTCCTGTCTGAAACAAATACTATTTTCAGAAGTGATCATAAGACAAGACTCCAAATGGAGCATGTCAAAAAATGAAAATGATCTTCATGACACTATTCCTAAGTAGAATAACATAAGGGAAATGTATTGATACTCATATTTTTTACACAAAACAGAATGAATACAAAGAAATCACATTTTATGTATCTTATTTGGTTTAAAAAGATTCACTTTATTTCTCCATCTATACAATCAAAGCAAAACTGTGACTTTAAATTAGTTTCCTTAAAATAATTTTGTTTATAATTTCAGGTCTTTTAAAGTGTTATATATATACATTTTTAAAATTCAGCTAAATACTTCAAATTATTTTCATTTTCTAAGCAGGTAAAAGAGAGTTAAATATTAGTTACATTTTGAAAAAATCATATATACATTTTTTATATAGTCAACTCTTTTCTTGAACTTTAAAATTTCAGGGTACATGTGCAGGATGTGCAGGTTTATTACATAGGTAAATGTGTGCCATTGTGGTTTGCTGCACCTATCAACCCACCACCTAGGTATTATGGCCCACATGCATTAGCTATTTATCTAGATATTCAGGTTTATTACATAGGTAAACGTGTGCCATGGTGGTCTGCTGCACCTGTCAACCCATCACCTAGGTATTAAGCCCTACAAGCATTAGCTATTTATCCTGATCCTCCCCCTCCCCCGACCCCCGATAGGCACCAGTGCATGTTGTTCCTCTCCCTGTGTCCCTGTGTTCTCACTGTTCAGCTCCCACTTCTAAGTGAAAACATGTGGTGTTTGGTTTTCTGTTCCTGAGTGAGTTTGCTGAGGATAATCGCTTCCAACTCCATCCATGTCTCTGGAAAGGACATGATCCTGTTCCTTTTTATGGTTGTATAGTAATCTATGGTGTATATGTACCACATTTTCTTTATCCAGTCTATCACTGATGGGCATTTGGGTTGATTCCATGTGTTTGTTATTGTGAATAGTGCTGCAATGAATATATGTGTGCATGTATCTTTAGAATAGAATTATTTATATTCCTTGGGGTATATACCCAATAATATGATTGCTGGGTCAAATGGTATTTCTGCCTCTAGATCTTTGAGGAATAGCCACACTGTTTTCTACAATGATTGAACTAATTTATACTCCCACCAACAGTGTAAAAGCATTTCTTTTTCTCCTCAACCTTGCCAGCATCTGTTGTTTTTTGACTTTTTATTAAAAGCCATTCTGACTGGCATGAGATGGTATTTCCTTGTGGTTTTGATTTGCATTTCTCTGGTGATCAGCAATGTTGATCTGTTTTTTTTTTTCAATATGTTTGTTGGCTTCATGTATGTTTTCTTTTGAGAAGTGTCTGCTCATTTCCTTTGCCTGCTTTTTAATGGGATCGTTTGTTTGTTTCTTGTAAATGTAAGTTCCTTATAGATGCTGGGTATTAAACTTTTGTCAGATGCATAGGTTGCAAACATTTTCTCCCATTCTGTAGGTTGCCTGTTCACTCTGCTGATAGTTTCTTTTGCTGTGCAGAAGCTCTTTAGTTTAATAGATTCCATTTGCCAGTTTTTGCTTTTGTTGCAGTTGCTTTTGGTGTTTTTGTCATGAAATCTTTGCCTATGTCTATGTCCTGAATGATATTGCCTAGTTTTTCTTCTAGGATTTTTGTAGTTTTGGGTTTTACATTTAAATCTTTAATCCATCTTGAGTTAATTTTTGTATATGGTATAAGGAAGGGGTCCAGTTTCAATTTTCTGCATATGCCTAGCCAGTTCTCCCATCACCATTTATTAAATAGAGAACGCTTTTCCCATTGCTTCTTTTTGTCAGGTTTGTCGAATATCGGATGGTTTTAGGTGTGTGGTCTAATTTCCTTTCAGGAGTTTTGCCTGGCCTTGTCAACCCATTTATTTTATTTTGTCTAATTTCTGAAGGAATATATATTTTTTATTACTACTGATTTAGAATTTGGCATAAGTTGTATTTATTGATTTATATGTCCCATCTCATAAAATTAAATAAGATATTAACAAAGAAGGGTCCTACTAAATTATTGGTGGAAGTGGGAGCCTATGGCATTGGTGGCCTGAGGAACCTGGACCTGAGGAGGGGTAAGCTGACTTAAGATTTCAGGGCATTTCTCTGCTTTCTTCAGAGATTTCTAGATTCTAGACTAAGCAGTACTTTGCAAACATCACTGTATCTATTGAATACTTAGAATTGTGAAAGAATATTCTTGTTTTATTTTTTACAGATTTCTTATGTTACAATAGAACAATATCATAATATAGTACTATTACTTTTATTTTGTGGATATGATAAAATACTATTTATCCATCAATGAAAATTTCTATGTTTATAATCCACCTGCAATTTTCTGATTGGGGGAGTAGTGGTATAATTAGTGAGGCAGATAAAAAGGCTAGAGGTGGGAAGGATATTAAGAATGACGTTGGGGCTCCAAAGAGCTGCTACTTCTCTCCCTAACATTTCTGTTAGGATACAGATTCCTTTGGTTTTAAGGGTACCCCATAGCCTCTGGCACATCATATGCAGTTTGAGTCCCCTGAAAGCAGAGCTAGAGGCAAGGACTTAGGTGAGGCAGTTTATTTGTGAGGTGATACCAGGATTCAATAGTTGGGGAGTGGAGAGTGTAGAGAGGAAAAGAGGAAAAGTTAGTATAGGGTGCATTATGGAGATTGCTCCCTCAGGCCACAGGGGCTTGCCCCATGTGTCTGTCTGGGAAACAGGACAGAGCATTTGCCCATCCAATCCCGTCTTCTGCAGCTTAAAGTTTGCCCTAGATACATTAACTCCTTGCTCCTTCTGGGTTTTGTTTGCAGGCAGGGTTTTTTTTTTTTTTTTTTTTTTTGTATTTCCTCAGTAGTGGAGAAGATTCTGGTGTGTGGTAGGAACCTGGAAGTGCCAGGTGTCTGGACTCTGTCCTACAAATGTGGGTTAAAGAGGAATGTGTTAAGGCCCAAGAGGCATTTGCTACATATCTCCTTGAAGAAATCATGGTTTTCAAATTGATGCCTCTGAGAAAGAACTGGTTCAAGAAGGTACATTTTAGGTGAATGAAGGATTGAGAGCAATGCTTTTTAATCTAGTCTCCTTTGAGCTCCTCCTGAAGGGCTGAGAGCCATCTAAAAGAGTAACTTTAGATCATCAACATCTTATCTTAATCCAACCAAACAGGTTTGGCCCAAGTTTATCCGTTGTACATATTGAGTTTCTGAATGAGCTTTTGTTCTAATGCTAAGAAATGATTTGACAACCACAAAATGTAGTGATTGTGAATTTGGACTACAAGCCTGAGTGCGATCATTTAGCAACTGTATCAACATTGGGCAAGTTATTTAAACCTCAATTTTCTGTCCCTTTGACATATACTTTTTTGTGAAGATGATTTTGCCTAATGCATGGGAAGGACTTAGCACAGGGCCTGGAACAGAGTTAAACCTGCAATTAACCTGACAGGAAGTTTTGAGCAAATGGAAGGCTTGGAAACCTGAAGGTTTTTGATGCTCTATGGATCAAGGCAGGTAAAAAGGAAAATTAAAATTATGCTCTTAGGAACTGCCTAACATAGCATAGGAACTGCCTATGCTGTTAGGAACACCGCCTGGGAATGACACTGGTTATGGGTGTCTAAGCATTGGAGATATTGAAGAATTTTAAGCTTGACAAAGTCAACATCCATAACTTACATGTACTCTATACTTTAAAAAATGTGCAGTCTTTTAATAATGCTATTGGGTCAATTGCCTTCTTCAAACATTAGAATCATTTTAAAGATACAGTCTATGCACATAGTCTTGTATGGCTGTATATTTATAGCTGGTGGAGAGGATTTCTTTTAGTAGATGTTGATGGTTATGCAGTCAGTTATTCCATAATATTTATTAAATCACTTTGGCTTTGAATATGTATTTATCATATTTGCTTTCGTTTTATGTCTATTGTAATCCCATTTGAACCAAATTGGAGGGTAAATTAATGTTCTATATAGGCAAACTCATTTGGACAAAATGGCTAGAAAAGACATTATTTTTTGAATACTGAAACCAGATCTGAATATTTAATGTTGCTTTAAAATTTTTATTCTTCCAATTTTATCTTTGAATGTTCCTTTCATTTTTCTTAGACTTTGGGATGGTAACCGTAATTTCTATTTCCAAGCTTTCTTGTGTTAATTATATTGTAAGTTTCTTCTATAAAAAAGTAACACAGTATTAAATTTAAAGGAAATTATTAAATGGTTTTCCTTAAATGAAACAATACATATAAAATACGTTCAATCCCAATGAAATGCATATAAAATATGTTTCAATTCCAATGAAAAAAGTTTTTTTTCAGTAAATAGAATAATATGTATATAATAAACCATTTCTTCATATAATTAGGGATGGTCTTACAAATATTGAAGACATAGGTTGCTGGTTACAGAGTTCCTCAGTCATCTGCATTATCATAAGATCTCATATAACATATTTTGCTACTGGATATATACATTTAATCTTTGCACTGTTCTTCACATATAGTATCTCACTAATACATCATCCTATGCAATAGGTATTATTTCACCCATATTTAAAAGAGCAAATAATATCACACAAAATAAAATAATTAACTCAATGTTACATTGATAGCATGTGTCAAAGACAAAGTCTGAACCTACATCTGTCTGACTTGTGAGCAACAATTTTAGTACACATCTCTTAAAGAGAAGAGATTAAATTTGAAAACCAATTTCAATATTTTTGAGGTCATTTTGTTATAGCCATTTAGGCTAAATTAATATGCTCTTGCTTTATTACCTGCTAATGCAGCCGATTTATTTATTTATTTATTTATTTGTTTATTTATTTATTTATTTATTTATTTGAGACAGGGTCTCGCTCTGTCACCCAGGCTGGAGTGCAGTCACATGATCTTGGCTCACTACAGCCTGCGCCTCCACAGTTCAGGTGGTTCTCCCACCTCAGCCTCCCAAGTAGCTGGGAGTACAGGCATGTGCCACCATGCCGGGCTAAGTTTTGTATTTTTAGTAGAGACAAGGTTTTACCATGTTATCCAGGCTGGTCTCCAGCTCCTGACCTCAAGTGATCCACCTGCTTCAGCCTCCCATGCTGGCAGGTGTGAGCCAGCATGCCTGGCCTTGCTGATTTATTTTTTGTATAAAAAGAAATATCAGACCATTTAGTGTATCAATTTTAGGACAAGTTTTAGATGGGAACATCCTAAGCATTTATTCATTATGTGATAATGTATTAAGTACCTCCTGCGTCAGAACCTTTGTAATTTCTGGGAATATAGGGATGAAAGCCATGTATTCTGATATCCAGGATTTCATAGTACAGCAAAGCATATAGATAAGAAAGGGACCAGACCATTGTATAAGTAGATGGCACACCCTGTGATAGAGGGATAAGTGTGATTGATGTATACACAGGTGAAACAAGCTATGAAAAATTATTTTCCAAAGGCAGCAATAGTGTAATATGGATACTTCAGCACTGTCTAGTTGAGGAGACCTATGACTGTCTTGAGGAGTGTCACCTTGGAGCAGTTCATAAAGTTCAGAAAAATAATGGGGCAATTATTCATGTCACTTCTGGCTGATCCAAGAGCATTGATGGAAGGCACTCACCAGACATCAACTAGAAAGCTAAGATGTCTCTTTATCACAGAGCAAGTGATGGGCAGTCTATAGACTTTGCTTCAACTTGCACACATTTCTTAGTATGGACCATAGGTGGGTTTGGCAGTATCTTATTGCTGAATTCCTTCTTCCTACCTACTGGCTCCCTCCACCCCACCAGGTTTATTGGCTTTGTGCTAGATCTCATTACCAATCCAACTCCTTTTTCTCTCCCAGCCAGAAAGACTGTCATGTGGTCTCTTGGAGAGAGGCTCATTTAGTTCATCCTCATATTCTTGCTAGGCTGTTTTAATAACAAAAACACACCAGTGCCAAGCTTCCTTCTGTGCCTTCCCCTGAGACTCAAGGGAACTTTCTTCTGTCAAGAAAAAATATGCATCTTGCAAATCAAAATCTTCATACTCGAATCTCTTATTTGCTATAAATTAAAACCTCAGTGAGATAACATCTTACCCCAGCCAGAATGGCCATTATTAAAAAGTCAAAAAACAATAAACGTTGCCATGAATGTGGTGAAAAGGGAACTTATATACCATTGGTAGGAATGTAAATTAGTACAACCTCTATGGAAAACAATTTAGACATTTCTTAAATAATTAAAAGTAGATCTACCATTCAATCCAGTAATCCTACTACTGGGCCTCTACCCAAAGGAAAAGAAGCCATTGTATCAAAAAGATACCTACACATGTATGTTCATCACAGCACAATTCACAACTGCAAAGACATGGAACCAACCTAACTGCCTATCAACCAATGAGTGGATAAAAAAATGTGGTATATATACACCATGGAATATTACTCAGCCATAAAAAGAACAAAATAGTCTATTTTGCAGTTACTTGGGTGGTGCTAGAAACCGTTATTCTAAGTGAAGTAACTCAGGAATGGAAAGCCACATATTCTATGTTCTCACTTATAAGTGGGAGCTAAGCTATGGGTATGCAAAGGCATACAGAGTGTTATAATGGACATTGGAGACTCAGAAATGGGAAGGTGGGAGGCGGTTGAAGGACAGAAAACTACATATTGAGTATAATGTACACCACTCAGGTGATGGTTACAGTAAAATCTCAGACTTCACCACTATACAATTCATCCACATATCCAAAACTCACTTGTACCTCAAAAGCTATTGAAAAATAAAACCAATTCTTATTTGTGATACTGACTTCAGAAGCCTATTTTGTGGATGCTGCTGATGGGTACTAAAAACAGAAGGAAAGAGAACACTACTACAAATAATTACTTATTTTTGTCTTATGAAAGTAACTTCTGTAGATAATTTTTAAAATCAAATAGTTCTACAAATTTTAGGATGAAATACAGTAGTCCCTTGCTACTCCCTCCGCATTCCCCGGATTCTTTAGATGCAACCATTTTCAACTAATTCTTTTGTTATTTACATGTTTCAAAATAATCCCAATCACTTTTTATTTTATTTTTTTTTTTGAGACAGTCTCACTCTGTTGCTCACTCTGGAGTACAGTGGCACAATCTCAGCTCACTGAAATCTCTGCCTCTTGGATCCAAGTGATTCTCCCACCTCAGCCTCCCAAGTAGCTGGGAATACAGGTGCATGCCACCATGCCAGCTAATTTTTGTATTTTTAGTAGAGATGGGGTTTCACCATGTTGGCCAGGCTGGTCTCGAATTCATGACCTCAAGTAATACAGCCACCTTGGCCTCCCAAAGTGCTGGGATTACAAGTGGGAGCCACAGTGTGTGGCCTCAAAATAACACCCTTGGTTTTCAGTTTTACATGTCATAATAGGCAGAATAATGAGCCCCAAATATGTCTACAATCCTAATCACTGGAACCTGTAAACATGTTATGTTCCATGACAAGTGGGAATTAAGTTAGCAGAAGGAATTGCAGTTGCTAATCAGCTGGCCCTAAAGAGATTATCTTAAATTATCCAGGTGTGCCTCAATCACAAGATTCTCTTAAACGTGGAAGGGGCAGGCAGAGATATCAGTGTCAAAGTGATATGCTATGAGAAAGACTCACCTGGTTGTTGCTGGCTTTGAAACTGGAGGAAGGGGGCCACAAGCTAAGGGATGGGGGCAGCCTTTAGAAGTTGAAAAAGGCAAGGAAAGAATTTTCCCTACAACTTTCAGAAAAGAGCACAGCCCTGCAGCATATCTTGGTTGAAGGTTTGAACTTTTGACCTCTAGAATTATAAAATACTAAATTTGTGTTGATGAAACTACTTAATTTGTGGTAATTTGTTTCAAAACCAAAGGAAAGTGAAATGGTTATTATTAGTGGACTTCATACTATAAGATATAAGTATTTAATTTTCGTTCATTTCGTCTTCTCAATTTTTCTATTAGAGTTATATCATTGATTACATCTAAATTCAGTGTTTACATTTTTAGGGCCATTTCATACATTTTGAAGCTAAAAAGTATAATGTCTTGGTAATTTCCCATTTCTTCATTTGCTTTCTTTGACTTATCTGTATTAATTCTCTTCCTTTGTGTAAGAAATATGAGTATCAATACCTTTTAGTATTCGCTTTGTTTTTGAAATATTTATCACCAGGATACTTATTATCCCAATGCCTCTGCCTAAAATATCACTCTTCTCTCAAGCCCTTCCAACACATTGAATGAACTATGAATTTTACTTATTCATATTTCCTTTGAGGTGTCTTTTTCTTTTTAAATTAAATTAAATTAAATTTTAAGTTCCAGGATACATGGATACATGTGCAGAACATGTGGGTTTGTTACATAGGTAAACATGTGCCATGGTGGTTTGCTGCACCTATCAACCCATCACCTAGGTGTTAAGCTCCACATGCATTAGCTATTTGTCGTGATGCTCCCCATCCCCCCACCCCCCAGCAGGCCCCAGTGTGTGTTGTTCCCCTCCCTGTGTTCACATGTTCTCATTGTTCCAATCCCACTTATAAGTGAGATCATGTGGTGTTTGGTTTTCTGCTCCTGTGTTAGTTTGCTGGGGATAATGGCATCCAGCTTCATCCATGTCCTGGCAAAGGACATGATCTTGTTCCTTTTTATGGCTGCATAGTATTCCATGGTGTATACATATGAGGTGTCTTTTTCTAAAAGTTTTGTTTTCTGTTCTAATCTGGACCACATGCTCTCTGGGTCTGCACTCATCCTGAAATATTCTTTCACCATTATCCCTAGAAATCCTATCACTTCCCTCTTTTGGATCTCCTATTACTTGAATCCCTGTGCTCCTCACTCTTTTCCCCTATGTTGGCGGAACATATCCTCTAGTAGTTTATTAATACAAGATAAATGAGAAATACCTTTTTAAGACATAAAGTGCATGAAATGTCTTTGTACCACCCTTATGTTTGACATATATTTGGCTGGCTAAAGAAATCTATATTGGAAACATACTTTTTCTATAATTTTGAATGCACTACTCTGGTGTCATCTATATTCAGTGTTAAAAAGTCCAATGCTGTCTGAATCTCAGTCTCTTTTATGTGCCCTGCTTTTTTTCCTTTGGAAATTTTGGCGCTACTTTATTGCTGGTATTTGAAGCTATGGGGAATTTTTTATGGAATTATTATTATTATTACTGTTATTTTGGTCCTGAGGATATGTCCTTCAGTTTGGGGAAATTTTCTTTTATGATTTCTTTAATAATATCCTTGCCTGCATTTTCTCTGTTCTGTCAGATTTTAGTCTGATGTGGAAATCCTCCAGTAATCTAATTTTAAAATGTTTTCTCTCCTGTTTTCATTTTTTCGACTTTTGCTTTGTTGTCTTAGAGATCTCAATTTTATCTTTCAACCCTTCCATTGCATTTTTAATTTTTCAATTCCTTTTATTTTTCTGAAGTTTAATTTTAATCATAACCTATTTGTATGTTTTTTTAAAAGGCCTTTACTGAGGTATAATTTATATGCTATAAAATTCACCCATTTTATTATACAGCTGCAATTTTTCTCTATTTCTCTGAGGATATTAATTATAGGTATTTGAAGTTTCCTCCTGTTTTGTTTTTCATTATTTTTGTTTTTCTCTGAGTTCTTTTTTGTGTGTTTGCTTTCTTCATTCTATTTTTTCCTTTTTAGAAGGGGATTTTTCTCAAATCTTTGGGGATTCTTGGTAATTTCTAAGTGTGAAAACCTAAAAAACTGGAAGCTGTAGTTCTTAAACAAAACTTGTCTAGACTTGGGTTTTTCTCAGGGTGATTAATAGAGAGTTCTCTGTTTTGTTGGGGCACCCCGAATTTTCTCTTGAGCTATCACTTTTTCAAGAGAACTTTCTCATCTCCTACTTGGGCCGGGAGTGGAAGTAAATAAACCTGTCTGCCAGCATTCTAGAAGCCAACTTGGGGATGGAGACTGATGATGCATTCATGCACCAGTTTTCTTTCATCTAATTCTCTTGTTTTCAGTACATGCTCCTCTTCTCATCAGTGTCTGGATCTCTGAGTCCAGAATTATTTGTTCCAACCTTCAGCCCCCTGGCAGCATGAATCAGGGAAGTCACCTGACTACACAGATACATGTGGGATTTAGGGGTGCATTGTTTCTTACATAGACTTTCAAATACTTCCTTTTCTAGTTTCATCTTTATTCCTACCTTCAGAAGTACCAGATCTATCCAACTCCTGAATCTTTCTGGAGTTATGCTCTTAGAATAATCCTGCTTTTCAGCATATCTCTTCTCTCTGCCCCTCAGTCATAAGCTTTTAGCTTGCTTTGGTTTGTTGCGTTTATCTGTCTCCTTTGCTTTTAGCCCTTACATAAGGATAAAGAACACACATATAGAAAGGAGCATAAAGTATACATGTGTAGCATAACAAACAATGTTAAAGTGATAGGAGTTTAACCACCATCTGAGTCAATAAGTAATACATTACTGCCTCTAAAAAAGTCCTTGTATGTATTCCATTGTGATTTTACTACCCTCTCCTTTGAAAACAACCACTCTCCCGATATTTTTGTGAATAACTTTCTTGCTTCCATTTGTATTTTTTTTGCCGCCTATGAATGCCTCTCTAAGCAATATATTTTAGTTTTGCCTCCTTTTTGAGCTTGACATCAGTGGAAATAGATTATACATAATCATTTGGGTCTTACTTCTTTGCTGAATATTACGATCATTAGGTTCATTTATGCTGTTGTGTGTAGCTGTAATCCATTTCATCCATTTCATTGCTGTGAGAGTGTGCCATAGCTTGATTAGACCACAATTTAAAAAGATTCTGTTACTGCTGGGCGTTTTAGATTTTTCCATGTCCTTTAGCTTTATAGCTTTTAAAATTATCTTCTCTTTTTGCTGTTGCCTTCTCTCATCCTCTTTGGGTATGTATCTTAAATAAAGTTCTTATTTTTTTCTTTTGAATCATTTGTACTTTTTAAGTAGGGGGGCACTGGGAGATAAACCCTATGTTTAAATGAAGCCAGGATTATTATGTTAAGCTATTATATGGTGTCAAAGTTATAGAAATTATGCTAAATACATTTTTGTACACTTGAGTTCTCTGATTCTTTTTGCTGTCATAAACCAAGACTGAGGAACTTAGGACAATGTTGAAGCTAAGTTTTATAAAACCTAAAATTACGATTTGGTTAAGAAAGAGATCTTAGTGCGTTTGATGTAGGAATTCCACTTTGCAAAGAGAATGGAAGTAACTGTCTCCATACAAAGGCAACCACAAACTAACGCTTGCCTTTGAATTTGTGATATCCCCTAATTCTCCAGTATTTTTCTTTTTACATTAATATTCCCTTAAAAACATTACCTGGAATGATCCTCTGTGCATGGAGAAGTACACATTCTGCAATGATAAGTGTAAACAAAACTGAACATTTTATTTCTCCCTTTTTGCTATTCTCTGACCTGCAGTGCATTCCAATACTTTCTGCTTTCAGTTAACACGCAGTTCTTTATTATTTTGATCACTGGACCTCAATAGCGCAGCACACAGGCAATGGCCAATGGATATTCTGGCCTGAATATTAATGATATCTGAGTGCAGACTGAGATATAATAATGCTAAAAATTGTAGATGATGGTTTATTATTTCTAGACAGTAGCACACAGCTAAAGGGAGAGTATAGGTAATTAAATACAGGTGATATAAACACACACTTTACTCTTTTGTGGCCAAATATAATTATATCACATATATCATAAATTCAAAGTTTCATTTTCAAAAGAGCAACCTAATTATTTTCAAAGCTTTTTGTAAAAAACCCCATTCATGACCTTGATGATTACACAGACTAAGAAAGCTATATTTAAAAGAGTGTTTTTCTGTGTAAGAAATATCTTTTAGTGGTTCATTAAAATCACTGTGAAGCATTTTTTCCCTTTCAGGTTACATAATATAACGATAAATATACCTGCTCTGATCATAAGCATCAGTGTTTAATTGAGGAATCAGTTTGAACTCCAGAAAACGTGGTACCTATTATTCATAGGATTGAATATTTTTTGATTTAAAAAAACACACAAACAAAGAAAAAAGCAGATAACTTAAGGAAGGGGAACTCTTATAAAGTAGAAACTTTACCTGTGATGTAGTGGTGTTGCAAAGACCACTAATGGTGTCTCCTACTATCTGATCTGGAAACAAAGACATTGTCCTGTTGTATTTTATTTACAGAAAAATAGGGTTACATGGAATCACGTTACTTGTATAAGAAAGGCAGTCATCACCTTTCTTTTATTGAATACATAATTTTTCAGGATTTGGGGATGATTTTTCTAAAGCAGAATCCTTTTTCTTTTGGAATATTTCAGATAATTTCAATAGAATCTCAGCTGGAGCTCAAGACTTGGTTATTTTCTTTTTCTTTTATTTCTTTTTTCTTCTTTCTTTTTATTTTTTATTTTTTAAATGAATCCAGCATTCCTTTGGAGAACAGAAGGTGGCACTCTTCCTTTTATCTTGTGAAATTTTCCACTTGAATGTTTAATTCTTCCTGTTAAGATTCGGAGCAGCACCCTGTTGGCAAGTTGATTGTTTCTTTGTGGTTAATGACTACTTTTTCACTTATCAAAAGACAGGGACACATTCCATGAAGTGTAATATTGAATGTGAGGCACCAAGTGTCATTGGCAATTCAATAGTAAATAGCGGTTAAAGTTTGATGAGGTCTCTTACAGTTTACTTGCCCGTGTGAGCAACTTGTTTCCTGAATGATTTTCTCCTCATTTTGTTTTATTGATGTAGGGAATAGAAAGCATCTAAATATAGGAGATCACTTGGAAAAGATTTGCTATTACCACTTCCACATGCTCAGAAACTGGTGGCTGATTAAATGAGCATATAGTGATAAAATGTGTGACCTTTCAGCCAATTCTAAGTCTCAAACTTCTTTTTGAATCTTAAATCTTGTTTTATTTTCTTGTATTTGGTATCTATCTAGGCTAGTTAATGTTGGTAAGGTTGAGATTGTCTCATAGATGGCAACAAAATTGGTTTGATTGCCCTACGTTGTATTTACATTTTTTCCCAAGGGCATGAAAGCAGTTACACATATTCAAGTATTTTCTAAATAATGTTATCTTGTTAGATTTAATATATTCTGTTTCTTTTTTGAAGGTCATCTCTTCATTATGCATATAAAACAGGCCCAGATTTTCCTAGTGGTCCTACATTTTAGGCTTCATCGTCATATAATTTGCTTCAATTTTTAAATATTTTAAGCTCCAAATTGAATATGAATTGTAAACATCACTGTGTCTTGTTACTAATATAAGTTATTAGGATATGTATGTGTTAGGGAGTTGGATAATTCAATTTGATTCTATTTTTAACATTCTACCTGACATCAGTGTAGAGTTTAAATCCTGGTTCTGCTCAACACTTTAAATGATATGGCCTGTATGTATGTCTGGAGCAATTCTACCTATCATATCCCAGGTTGTTTTTGTGCTGTTTTAATTATAGCTCTTGTTTTTATTAGCTAAACAATTCAAGACAGGTCTTGTACTCTTGCAAAAGTGGTATCTATTAAGAAAGCAAACCAAAATTCACAATAAAAATAAAAAAGTGTTTGGTCCTTTATAAAAACTAGATAAAAATCAATGGATTTTTTGGGATACTGGGCTAGGAAGAAATATCAAATGATAATACCTTTGAGTATAAGCCTAAAAGCTCATGGCTGATAAGACATAGGAAAGGAGCAACAAAACATGGTTCTAATAATCATGACCAGAGAGAGTTGCTTGGATGTCATGATAATCATCTGTCTCCTTTCCCCACTTCCTACATTGATAAACCATAGAAAAAGGAGTTCACAGAAATCAATTATTAAGAGGACCTATTACAGAATCTAGTCCTGGAGAATAAAAATAAGTATAACTGAATCTTTAAGAATTTGAGAGCGATGGAGTCCACGTACTACTTGGTGATTTTTCATTATATTGGCCTCTAGGTAGAATGAGCATGGATTTTCTCCGATTAGAAGGCCTGTAATTTGTTTTGCAGGGACTTTGAAATCAGTAGTTTTAGGCTGTATAGCTGCTAGTCTGGGTGTATTTTGCATGGATTTTACAGCTGTAGCACTCAGGAATAAAGTCATAGAGCCAAAGACAGCTTTCTAATATAAACTTTGATGTTCTATAGCAGAGGTCAGCAAACTATTTTGTAAAGGCCCTATAGTTAATGTTTTAATCTTTCTAGGCCAACAGACAAAAATGAGGATATTATGTAGGTACTTTTATAACTATTTACAAGTAACCATTTAAATATGTAAAAAAATTCTTAGTAGGCTATACAAAAATAGGCAGTAGACCTGGTTTGGCCTGCAGGCCACGGTTTCCTCAATCTCTACAGCATTCAAAAACTGTATTCTGTGTCTATATTTTGTTTTAATAATTCAGGTTAAGATCCAGATGTTTGTTTGGTCAGAAATACAGGAACACTAGTATTCTTAGAGCTTGAATGTTTGTTTGAATTATGTAAAGAACTGTAGCTGATTAGACAGATTAAAATTTTGGTTTGGTTGATTTGCTTGCACTAATAAAGACACATTCACATCTGGCAAACATAAAGGCAGGTCCTCAACAATCAAGTGGCATTTATTTAAACTATTATGGAAATGTCAAAAGTCCTGCTGGAGACAAGGAATCATTACAGCAGGTAGTTCCTGATGTTTTATAATTCTGTGCCTAGGAAAGACCTGATCTAGTTTAATAAGTTAAATAAATCACTCAGGAAAAAATAAAATTGTATGAAAAGGAAAAATGTAAAGGCATAGTTTGGTGATAAATTTTGTCTTGCAGTTGCAGAGGCTCTTTAATGATTCCCTAGTTTGTACTAAGCCTTTGAGAACTGCTTTCCTTGGAATTTGCAGGGAAATATCCAGCAGATGGGCTGAAGGTCTTGTCTAGCTACTGAAAGACTTGCTAGCCCAAAAGGAAATCAGGTCATCCAATCAGATGAACCCATTCTCTTGAGGTTCTGCACAATTGCTTCTCTGGATGGCAGTTAATCATCAGGCCATATGGGTGCTTTTAACATCTGGCTAACTTCCAGGAAGAATTCAATAAGTTTGGTCTAGTACAGTTGGAACATATCTTCCACTGTTTATGTGTCTCATAATTCGTAGAAAAATATCTTTTCATATTGGGAAAAAAGGCTTAGAATCAACAGGGTTTCATTGGCCCTACAGAGTTCCCCTGGCTATGAGCTGTTGCCCACCTTAGGTTTGTCTCCTACAGGAGATGACGTTGCTATCTTCATATCACGAACAATGGTTCATGACATCAAGATATTTCTCCATTAGTTTTGTCCTATGCATGCTTCTCTATGAATTCAATACATGTTTAGTATTTTCATTGTAGGTGATTAGTGTTTTTAGTTACTTTTAAATTTCACTTATATGAGAGAAAAGACAGAAAGTGTAGTCAGGGATGTGTTTTCAACAGAGAAAGTGAACTCAGAATTTTTCTAGTTCATAGACAATAGTAATTTTAAAAAGTAAAGAAAAAGTTCTTTTTATAATTGATTGGCACTTACTGAATTGATACTAAATCTGTCTCAGCCATATTATTTTGATTTAAATATATATTTTCATTAGAACTTCTCTGTACTTTATTTTGATATAACTGTGAGGTAATGATATAAGGTTAACATCTTTGAAATTATTATCTCCACAAATACACATTTTATTTAAAGAACCAATAAAGGTTTCCCCAATAATTGTCAACTAATAAGCTTCCAATATTTTGTAGTAAAATATTCCCTAGATTAACTATCATATTGCATTAATTCTAAGAGGCATATTTTCTTATTTTCACTTTTTAGCATCTTTGGAATCTGGGTGCATCCTGTAAGTGATAATAATAACATGATAGTATGTTATGTAAAACTGGCAGATTTTAAATGATGGTACACCGTAAAATCAGGAGCTGATTTAAATGACAGTGCATCTTAAAATCGATGGTTTCTTAGATTCAGTAAAATAAACTATTTATGGAAATATCCCAGGCAAGAACAAGCAAATAGAAAAAAAGTACATAAAAGAATAGAAACAATAGACATTTGGGGATGTAGAGCTCAATTAAACAACAATCTGAAGGTAAATTTATTCTTAAAATGGATATTCATTGGTGGCCTGTTTTATGCATTAAGCTAGAAAAGTAAGGATTATGAAAAAGGTATATGACATTACCTAGATCTCTAAGAAATTAGAATATACTTTGAGAGTCAAGACAAAGAAATATGAGATAGTGAAACATTGTCTAGCCCTTTTACAAATATTAAAAGTCCTTTAACAAATATTAAAAGGGCAATGTTTATCTGTATATCTCTCTGTGTATGCATATATGCATATGTACATAATGCTAATGATAGAATACATGTATTTCAGCATTTATACCTGTATTTATATATATAAACACTATTGTGGGCTAGATCAGTTGAACTGTTTGGAATCATCATCATGGCTGGGCGCAGTGGCTCACACCTGTTATCCCAGCATTTTGGAGGCCAGGAGATCAAGACCAGGTTGGGCAACATAGGAGACCCTGTCTCTACAAACAAAAAAAAAGAATCATCATTATTATCATCATTACAACTGTCATTGATTGCTTACTGTAAACTGTACCAGGAACAGTATAATATAAAATGTAAATTACAGATAATCCTGAGGAAAGGCTAGAAATTATCCAGATTGTAAGAGTTAGGACAAAAGGGTATTTCAGATGGGGAAAATGGCATCAAGAAAAATTTTAAGTTGGTTATGGGAGTAAACAATTACAGTGGCAGTAAGAGATAATTTTATAAAGTTCACCAACATGGCACATGTATACTTATGTAACAAACCTGCACGTTGTGCACATGTACCCTAAAACTTAAAGTATAATATAATAAAATTAAAAAAAAATTTTATAAAGTTCAAGACTAATTCTGGAGATGAAGTTGGCTAAAAGGCTAGGACCAGATGGTAAGAAAAACTGCATGCCAGAGTAGACAAGGCCCTGAGAAGCTATCAAAGGCATTTGAGTAAAACAAGGACATCTTGATGTTGAAGACTTCTCTTTTCTCTGCTATTTCCTCTAGCTATTATTCTATTTCTTTGTTCACTATCAATCTTTAAAAAGGTCTATTCGCTCTGTAACTTCTGTCTTATTATCTATTTCCTTAACTCTTTACGCCTTACAGCATGGCTTTTTGAAAATTCCTATTCTGCTGGAACTGATCTCTCAAGTCCAGTTGTGTCTTCTCAGGCTTCATCTTGCTCTAGGAAGTGATTGGTACCATCAATTAGTTCTGCCTCATCGATTGGTCTCTTCATGGACCCTGTGGCCATGCTGTCTCTCAGTTCATGTTCTATCTTTACGTTTATTCTTTTAAAATCTCTTGCTTTACTATTTCTTCTCATTCCTTTAATGCAGGTTTTTCTGAGGTGAATTTTAAAATCTTCTTCCCTTTGATCTCACCTTCACACAATAATTTTGACTTAATTCACAAGGGTCCCCAATTTACCTCTAGACCTGACTTTTTATCCAAGTATTAGTCTTGTATTGATACATGCCTTCACGGACATTAATTTGTATAGTTCTTAAGATCAACATGTGCAAAACCAAACTGTTTAATTTCTTTAAATATTTGACAACTGACACCCAAACCAGTTTCTTCTGATCTCATATTTCTGCTTTTAGCACTAGCCCTGTGTCAATCATGCAGGTTAAATATCTTCTACCAATTAAACATTATTTTAAACTGCACAGTTAAATAACATTTTCATAAAAGTTCAAATGTTACAGGTAAGGCCAGTGTATCATTGAGTCCCCTCATCCATGTCTTATTTTCAAAGAAAACAATTGTGTATAATCTCCGTTCATTTGAAATTCGTGTGTGTGTGTGTGTGTGTGTACACAATATATAGTTTGGTTTGGGGGGCACATATTTAACAATTTATCTCGCACATCTTTCTTGCAATGTTAATATAAATAATTCCATCTAAATGTTTTAAACATTAATAGTATTTCATTGTCATCAAGCCATTTTTAAAACATCTCCCTTACATTCCAACTCACATGTAATCCTTTTTACCTCAGCAGTGTTATTTTACATATAGTTTAAAACTCCCATTTTAAAGATACATGTGTAAACACTATTGTGGGCTAGATTAGTTGAACTGTTTGGAATCATCACTGAGGCCCATAAAGTTTATTTGACCTGTGTAGGGCTATTCAGCTCTTTGTCTTAAAACCAGACCTGCTGACTCTCTTCTGGGTTTTTTTTTTTTTACCAGCACCAGGGCTCCTTTATTTACATTCACATTTCTACTTCCCTAGGACTGTTAAGATCTCACTGAAATACAGGCACCTTAAAAGAGACCTAACTAGAGCAGCTCTTCAGCCAGTCTGACCCTATTTTTATAACTTAACATCAAAATCCAAATAAAAGAGTTGGATTATAATATTCTTATTAACTTTACTAAAGCCCGAACGACTTAAAAAATAATTGCATCCGGTCTTACAGTAATCCCAATAGGTAAATGTTACATAACTTGCTACAATGAAAAAAACCAAAGAATATAAACCTATAAGTAACTTATTTAACTGCTTAATCAAACCAGTGAAATCACTAGCTAATGTGCTGTATTTGATTTATGCGCTTGCTCATTGACACTCTTAATAGAAGCTCTGTGTTGGTTGATGGAATCAATAAAGGTGAGCCTTATATCAAGTGATTTTGATCCATGTATTACCTTTGTGTTTATCGTCTTAACTTGGAGGACACTGATGAATCATTTTATTAATAATATAATTGATTTGGTAGACACCACCCTAGGAAAATTTGTTTTGCTAAAATTTCTAATGATTACATTTCATACTTATATCTTCTAAGCACGTAAAGCACATTATGTTATTTATATTTAATTATTGGAAACCTCAAAATTGACATCAACACTGGATGTCTGTGAATCCAATAGCTCCCCTTTCCTCCTCAAGTTCCCAGCCTGTGGGCTCTATTATCTCACTGAATGACTCTTAATGACAGATTTTTTTTAAACAGCTTCTTTCTCTAAGTCAACTAAATTTCAAGACAGAGAGCCATATTCCAATTGGAATTAGCAAAATAGGAATTTATTGGCTCCATAATCTAAGAGTGTAGATCCAGATACTCAATTTTTACTGTAAAGATGCTGCCTGTCTTCATCTCTCGGTCAGGTAACTGTACTCCTGTCCATATGAGATAGTCCAGGTTTATGTTGTTTGCCTGGCAGCCTGTTTAGCATTTGTCCTGACAGAAGTGTTCTACTATGGATGATAAAGTGTATGGTCATTCTATCTGTTGATTCCAGCATTGGGCTTATGCAATCTTCTCCTGTGGCAGTGAGATGGGCATCAGGAAATCCAGCCTTAAATTGTGCTAGCCTGTATCAGCTTGTCATCAGGGCAGAAATCCTAATTATGTGGGTCATGGGCAGTTGTTTTGGTTAGATAAGTGGAATCTGCTCATTAGGCAATCTCAGCTCATGCTAAGGGAAGAGGGAAATGGTTTCAGTTCTACTCAGACGATAAAGACTGAGATATAGGAAAAAGTGGTTCCCCCTAGCAAAATTCCTTCAAAGTACTATTTTTGGATGAAGGGTAGAATAGACACTGGGTAAACAAAAACTATGTTGTTCATTGAAAAAAAATAGATTTTTTTTACCCTCTGTACAGGAATTACCAAAAAAACTTTTCTCAATACTACCTTTAAGAATAGAGATTATATCCTTCTTCTTGTGTTCCCCCCCGTTTTTTCTAATGTTGCTGAGAGGACTTGTCAGGAGGCGGATAATTCAATAGTTTTTTATACTGTTGTGTGTCATTTTCCTCTTTGTTTCAGAGTTTTTCCTTAACTAACAGCACTTCTAAGTTGTTCACATGTTGATGAATTGATTCACAGTAATCAGACTCTGAAGAGACTGATCTGTAAACCAGTGCCCAAGTTATTTATAAAGGAAGATGCATCTAGTGCAGTCTATAACTGGTACTAGCTGTTTTCTTACCACACCACTTTTTTGACATCAATATATGTGGGAAACCCAATCTGTTAGTAATAGATGGCTTTGGCAAGCATAGAATCAGCCAGAGCCAAGGGAAGTGGATGGATTTAAGGAACATCTCCTTTAAGCTGAGATAGAGCCTGAAGGAATTATGCCTCCCCCAAGTAAAAATAGATTCAAGGGGTAATCAGTGCCTGTCATCTGGTGCAGTGCCTCTGCTCCTCAGGTCAATTCCTGGTAGTCATTGGTAAGGTTCTTGTTCTCTTTTTTTTCCCAACACTCCTGTTGACCCTTGTGGATTATTATTTTCCTATTTCCCTCCCCCTCGCCCCCAGGACTGATCTTAGACAAAACTGGGAAGTAGATGCAATTGTCTTAACATGTATTGCATACTTTTTTTTCGTAGTCCTCTTATTTTTAAAAGCTTTTTTATTAAAGTGTAATACACACAAAGGAAATCATACAGAAATAAATAACTCTGAATTATTAAAAATTGAACACATCTGTAAACAGTATCCAACTTCTATCCCTTTTTAACAATTCCCCTTTCCCATGTGATATACTATCATTTGATCTCTTCCCTCTCATGTGTTAGTAATTTAAAGCGAGACCCTAAAGCAATATCAATGCTTGAAATAAGGTGATGAATTGCTAAAGATAGACTACCATGTATATCAGAAGATAAAAACTGTGCAGAATCTTCCAATTTTTTCTTTGGATTAAGTATGGGAGATTTGGGGAAAACAAAATTCAATATAAGTTGGAGAAAGCTTTACGTAAAAGTTGGAAACAAATCTTGAATTAAGTGTAGAATTTATCAATTAGAAGGCAGAAGGAGAAAGAGAGTGAGTGGAAGTGAGAGGAATAGCACAGTGCAGCATAGTACAGAATAAAAAGGCAGGCCAGGGGCTGGACCAAAGGGTGAAGGTCATAATACAGTAAGAAGCAAAGTTTCAGATGGACAGAGTCCAGCGAAAGCAAAACATTTACAAAGCAGAGACTATAGACTGAATCATGGCTTTCAGCAAGAATGACAATAATAGACACACTACGGAAATAATGGCTTGACAGTGATATGTTAAGGGCTTTGAGGGGAAAGAGGGACTACTGGAAAGAACAATTACATTGTTGTTCTACCTATTGTATGGGCTAATTCTTAAATCTGAACTAAAGGAATGGCTAAAATGGATAACATAGATATTATGAAATAGGAATAAATAGAGCTAGTTTACATACTATAGCAGGTGTAGTTATTAAGAAATTTAAAATTAAATAAAGTATTTAAAATCTGTAGAATTGGTTCCTAAGAAGAGCTGGGTTTGGAAATAAGAGGATTTTAGTTTGGGATCTGATGCGTTTGCATAGCTGGTAAGGACATACAAGTGAAGGGCTCAAGTGGGCAAACAAAAATATGGAATGAGTAGATTTTAAGTGTTTTCACCACAAATTGACAATCATGTGAAGTAATGCATGTATTCATTGTGGAATGGTTTGGCCATTCCAAAATGTGCATGTGTTTCAGAATATCATGTTGTATACAACAAATATATATACTTTTATCTGTCAATTAGAAAATCTTTAAAAATGCTAACATACCAAAAAAAATCCCAGAAAAAAAATGGGATAGAGGTATAAGAAAGAGGTCAAGATTGGAGATGCATTTGGGAGTTGTGTATGTGGAGAATTGTGAGAATAAATAGGCTGCCATTTGAATGATAAAATGAACAGAGGGAAGATATCTTAGACTTTGGGTCTACACATGGAAGACAGGATGCTTTAAACATAGGAACTAAGGAAATAAAAAAATATTTAGCAGCTTTTATGTTCTATGTACTGTTTTTATATGCCATGTACTGTTCTCAGTGTTTCAAGTGTATTCATTGGTTCAAACTGCTTTACAGAAAAGAAAACTGAAGCACAAAAAATAACCATAGTGCAGAGTTTGGGAAATCAAGAAATTTCAGGTTTGACATTTCAGCTAAATGTTACAGAAACATTAAATATACTTAGAAAGATCATCATTGAGATTTGAGGTAACAGTTTCATTTATATCAGCATAGAAAATAAATGTTAAAGAAAGAAGTGGAAAACATTTAGGACCAGTAGGAGGAGGACCTATGTGCTATGAGTTTGACATTGAATGGAAGAATAAACACTATGAAGGCAAAACTAGAGTTTTGGAAAAGAAGTTCAAATATGATTAAAGAGAGATGGAGAAAAGTATAGAGAAGAGTATATTGCTGATCCATGAAAGAGGGAGCCATTGCCAAAGGGACATTCTGGGAATGTGGAGTGTGCGTGGAAGCATTAACTACAAGCATAGGGTCTGTGTTCTTGGTTCCTATTATGGGAAGACACTGTGAGGGGATGTGGTAAGAAAAAATCCTGTGTTGACTCATTGTATGAAGAGCTCACAAAAGGGCTTACATTGTCTTCAGACAGAAGCAGGCAGTTCTGGGAATTGAACAAATAAAAATTATTAAAGAATGAAAGGAGAAGGGTGAGCAGGAGGGAGGAAGCTAACGTTCTATGAGAATCCACTTTGTGCCAGGCGGCGTGACAGCAACTCTGACAAATTGGACAGTGTGAGTCTTTAACCCATCAGTTTTACAAAATTGAACGGTTTCCTTCAAGTTATCTATGCTTTTTCTGTCTTTATTATTTTACTTGGGACAATTTGTCCTTTTCCCTCATCTTCCAATATTTTATTTTATCTCTCATTGACTCTAGGTTGACACTTACTCGGAAAGAAGAATTCCGCTCAGAGTGAATTCCAATTTGGATGTTCTATGTGTAAACATAATCTCATGTACTGGCAATTTCCTTGTATTTGAAGCTTGCATAAATATTCACACTTCTAGGTTCTCCATCATCTGTTGAGTAGAAGTCTTCAATCTCCTTAATGCAGTCTTTAAATTATTTTATGTCTATTGAAATGTTCATGTTTTGTGGAGACGTAGATGTATTCTTGTTCTCAGACAGACTAAAAAGAATTATGCTTGCAGGAATAAAAAAGAAATAATAAGTTTATTATGTACTTGACAGAATTTTACCTGGTGCCTTTATCATCTTGAATATGATAGAGTATTCAGGGCTTTTTTTCTCTTTGATAAAGTTACACTGGGTTATAAATATACAAAAGACTTCATTGCTATATGGTTAAATTCATATTTGTCATCTTATTCTTTTTAGCTGGCTGTTGAGCATTGGAGTTTTTCATGTATTTGAGCATTAAAAATGATATCAGCTACCTTTAAAAGATGTAGGTTAACAGTAGGAGGACTGCCCTTCAAATATCAATGAAAGGATTTAAAAATTTTTGTTTGTATATATTTAAGGAATACAAGTGCAATTCTGTTACATGGCTATATTACCTACTAGTGAAGTATGGGCTTTTAGTGTATCTATCACTTGAATAATGTATATTGCACCCATGAAGTAACTTCTCATCAGTCACCCCCTTCACCCCCTCCCATCCCCACCTTTCTCAGACTCTGGTGTCTACATCCCACACTATGTCCATGTGTATACATTATTTAGCTCTCACTTTTAAGTGAATACATGTGGTATTTGTCTTTCTGTTGTTAATGCTTAATGACAGCCATGTTTGTCATGTTGTCTCTCTAAGGCCTGTAAAGAAGGTTCTGAGGTTAAATTTCTATTCTTGTTTCTGCACGGGTTTTTTTTCCCCTTGGTATCACTACCATTGTTTGCTCATTCTTATAGATGTATCCAGAGTCCACAAAAGCAATTTAAAGATGTTTGTTTTTGGTTGTAGGATTGGAAGTGTTTTTAAGGATGATTTCAAATCTATTAGCAAATATCCTAAGTGTACAACCTACTGCCATTAGATTAGCAGGAGTATTTTTTTAAGGGAAGGCAGAGAATTTTTTTTAACTGTATTATTGTTATTATTATTATACTTTAAGTTCTAGGGTACATGTGCACAATGTGCAGATTTGTTACATATGCATATATGTGCCACATTGGTGTGCTGCACCCATTAACTCATCATTTACATTAGGTATATCTCCTAATGTTTTCCCTCCCCCCTCCCCCCACCCCACAACAGGCCCTGGTGTGTGATATTCCCCACCCTGTGTCCAGGTGTTCTCATTGTTCAATTCCCACCTATGAGTGAGAACATGTGGTGTTTGGTTTTTTCTTCTTGTGTTAGTTTGCTGAGAATGATGGTTTCCAGCTTCATCCATGTCCCTACAAAGGACACGAACTCATCCTTTTTTATGGCTGCATAGTATTCCATGGTGTATATGTGCCACATTTTCTTAATCCAGTCTATCATTGTTGGACATTTGGGTTGGTTCCAAGTCTTTGCTGTTGTGAATAGTGCTGCAATAAACATACGTGTACATGTGCCTTTATAGCAGCATGATTTATAATCCTTTGGGTATATACCCAGTAATGGGATGGCTGGGTCAAATGGTATTTCTAGTTCCAGATCCTTGAGGAATCACCACACTGTCTTCCACAATGGTTGAACTAGTTTACAGTCCCACCAACAGTGTTAAAGTGTTCCTATTTCTCCACATCCTCTCCAGCACCTGTTGTTTCCTGACTTTTGAATGATCACCATTCTAACTGGTGTGAGATGTTATCTCACCGTGGTTTTGATTTGCATTTCTCTGTTGGCCAGTGATGATGAACATTTTTTCATGTGTCTTTTGGCTGCATAAATGTCTTCTTTTGAGAAGTGTCTGTTCATATCCTTCGCCCACTTTTTGATGGGGTTGTTTGTTTTTTTCTTGTAAATTTGTTTGAGTTCATTGTAGATTCTGGATATTAGCCCTTTTTCAGATGAGTAGATTGCAAAAATTTTCTCCCATTCTGTAGGTTGTCTGTTCACTCTGATGGTAGTTTCTTTTGCTGCTCAGAAGCTCTTGAATTTAATTAGACCCCATTTGTCAATTTTGTCTTTTGTTGTCATTGCTTTTGGTGTTTTAGACATGAAGTCCTTACCCATGTCTATGTCCTGAATGGTATTACCTAGGTTTTCTTCGAGGGTTTTTATGGTTTTAGATCTAACATTTAAGTCTTTAATCCATCTTGAATTAATTTTTGTATAAGGTGTAAGGAAGGGATGCAGTCTCAGCTTTCTACACATGGCTAGCCAGTTTTCCCAGCACCATTTATTAAATAAGGAATCCTTTCCCCATTTCTTGTTTTTGTCAGGTTTGTCAAAGATCAGATGGTTGTAGATGTGTGGTATTATTTCTGAGGGCTCTGTTCTGTTCCATTGATCTATATCTCTGTTTTGGTACCAGTACCATGCTGTTTTGGTTACTGTAGCCTTGTAGTAAAGTTTGAAGTCAGGTAGCGTGGTGCCTCCAGCTTTGCTCTTTTGGCTTAGGATTGTTTTGGCAATGTGGGCTCTTTTTTGGTTCCATATGAACTTTAAAGTAGTTTTTTCCAGTTCTGTGAAGAAAGTCATTGGTAGCTTGATGGGGATGGCATTGAATCTATAAATTACCTTGGGCAGTATGGCCATTTTCATTATATTGATTCTTCCTATCCATGAGCATGGAATGTTCTTCCATTTGTTTGTATCCTCTTTTATTTTGTTGAGCAGTGGTTTGTAGTTCTCCTTGAAGAGGTCTTTCACATCCCTTGTAAATTGGATTCCTAGGTATTTTATTCTCTTTGAAGCAATTGTGAATGGGAGTTCACTCACGATTTGGCTCTCTGTTTGTCTGTTATTGGTGTATAAGAATGCTTGTGATTTTTGCACATTGATTTTGTATCCTGAGACTTTGCTGAAGTTGCTTATCAGCTTAAGGAGATTTTGGGCTGAGACGATGGGGTTTTCTAAATATGCAATCATGTCATCTGCAAACAGGGACAATTTGATTTCCTCTTTTCCTAGTTGAATGCCCTTTATTTCTTTCTCCCTGATTGCCCTGGCCAGAACTTCCAACACTATGTTGAATAGGAGTGGTGAGAGAAGGTATCCCTGTCTTGTGCCAGTTTTCAAAGGGAATGCTTCCAGTTTTTCCCATTCAGTATGATATTGGCTGTGGGTTTGTCATAAATAGGTCTTATTATTTTTAGATATGTCCCATCAATACCTAATTTACTGAGAGTTTTTAGCATGAAGGGTTGTTGAATTTTGTCAAAGGCCTTTTCTGCATCTATTGAGATAATCATGTGGTTTTTGTTGTTGGTTCTGTTTATATGCTGGATTACATTTATTGATTTGCACATGTTGAACCAGCCTTGCATCCCAAGGATACAGCCCACTTGATCATGGTGGATAAGCTTTTTGATGTGCTGCTGAATCCAGTTTGCTGTATTTTACTGAGGATTTTTGTGTCGATGTTCATCAGGTATATTGGTCTGAAATTCTCTTTTTTTGTTGTGTCTCTGCCAGACTTTGGTATCAGGATGATGCTGGCCTCATAAAATGAGTTAGGGAGGATTCCCTCTTTTTCTATTGATTGGAGTAGTTTCAGAAGGAATGGTACCAGCTCCTTGCAATGCTAATCTCTTATAACACAGACTTTAAACCAACAAAGATCAAAAGAGACAAAGAAGGCCATTATGTAATGGTAAAGGGATCAATTCAACAAGAAGAGCTAACTATCCTAAATATATATGCACCCAGTACAGGAGCACCCAGATTCATAAAGGTAGTCCTTAGAGATCTACAAAGAGACTTAGACTCCCACACAATAACAATGGGAGACTTTAACACCCCACTGTCAACGTTAGACACGTCAACAAGACAGAAAGCTAACAGCGATATCCAGGAATTGAACTCAGTTCTGCACCAAGCGGTCCTAATAGACATCTACAGAACTCTCCACCCCAAATCAACAGAATATACATTCTTCTCAGCACCACACCGCACTTATTCCAAAATTGACCACATAGTTGGAAGTAAAGCATTCCTCAGCAAATGTAGAAGAACAGAAATTATAACAAACTCTCTCTCAGACCACAGTGCAATCAAACTAGAACTCAGGATTAAGAAACTCACTCAAAACCGCTCAACTACATGGGAACTGAACAACTTGCTCCTGACTGGGTACATAATGAAATGAAGGCAAAAATAAAGATGTTCTTCGAAACCAATGAGAACAAAGACACAACATACCAGAATCTCTGGGACACATTTAAAGCAGTGTGTAGAGGGAAATTTATAGCACTAAATTACCACAAGAGAAAGCAGGAAAGATCCAAAATTGACACCCTAACATCACAATTAGAAGAGCTAGAGAAGCAATAGCAAACACATTCACAAGCTAGCAGAAGGCAAGAAATAACTAAGATCAGAGAAGAACAGAAGCAGGTAGAGACACAAAAAACCCTTCAAAAAGGAGCTGGTTTTTTGAAAAGATCAACAAGATTGATAGACACCTAGCAAAACTAATAAAGAAGAAAAGAGAGAAGAATCAAATAGACGCAACAAAATATGATAAAGGGGATATCACCACTGATCCCACAGAAATACAAACTACCATCAGAGAATACTATAAACACCTCCACGCAAATAGACTAGAAAATCTAGAAGAAATGCATTAATTCCTGGGCACACACACCCTCCCAAGACTAAACCAGGAAGAAGTTGAATCCCTGAATAGACGAATAACAGGCTCTGAAGTTGAGGCAATAATTAATAGCCTACCAACCAAAACTTTTCTCAGTATAGCTGAGAAAGTTTATAGAGTATGTGTGGTTTGAAAAAGCTCTCTTGCTTCTCACTTCTCTATCGCTTCTCAGCCTTTTGGCTAAGATCAAGTGTGAAAAATCTCTCTTGCTGATTTTGAGGAATTGCAATTATTTAAGTGAAATTTTGTATTACAAAAATAAGAATTTTGGGACACTTTTATAAATAGAGAATTTTAAATTTTAGTTAATTTTTTTTAAGCTTTCCAGCTTATCCTGATGAATTTCCTTAGGCAGTTAAGTTGCTTGTTAATGGATATAAAATAATTTCCTTATAGTATCAACATTTTTTATATGTTTCTTTCTGGAACCTAATCACTTGGACTTTTCTTTAGATCTTTACTTACAGTATTGAAAAAGTAAGCATTATAGGAAAAAGTAAAACAATTGCCCTTGATAGCTGAGATGCAATTGATAATTGTATAAGCTGAGTTGCTATAACAAGGAAAGCCAAAAGTAGTGATTCAAACAATGTAGAAATTTATTTCTCTCTTATATGACAGACCAGGGGTAAGCAAATTATCCAGGGTAAGTAGAGGTCTTTGATCTAGGATGGCATTCAAGAACCAGGCTCCTTTTGTTTGATTGTTTTACCAGTTTTTGGGATGTTCCCTTTTTCTTAATGGAGAGAACTATCTCACCAGCACCATGTCTGCATTCAAGACTATAGGAGAGGGAAAGAGAGTGGTTGGAATTTCTAAGAAAGAAGATGCGGTCATCATTTCTGCCCATTTCTCAAAAGACTATAACCATGCTTTGCCTCAAGGGAGGTTGGGAAATACAGGGCCTTCCTCGCAGGCCATTAGTCCCCACTGAAATTAAAGGAGTTTTTTTTTTTTTTTTTTAACAGAAGGAATGGATAGATACTAGGGTATTATTTGGTAGTCTCTTCCAAAACACTTAGGCAAGTTAATAACATCCATGAATTGAAAATCTTGCAGAAATGAGATAATACAAAACAGCTGGGGAAAAGTAGAGAATTTTATAAATAGTATGAAGCTTCAGCTTAGCGTTAGGATTATAATACAATTTATCAGATCTTCTATTACAGGCTATTTATAAATTAGGGAAATGTAAGAGACAATGTTAACAAATATTTTTTCTCCCGGCTCATGGAAAAAATAACAATGCTGAAAAGTAATTAGTTTTACATTCCTTCCCTGTACACCTAGTGAGAACTCCTCAGTGCATAACATTCATATTCTCATTTTTCCCCTACCCTCTGCCAGTGTGCTGGACTCTGCTTTCATTGTGCTTCCAATCCATTCAGATTCTGTTTATTATTATTATTCTTATTATTATTATACTTTAAGTTTTAGGGTACATGTGCACAATGTGCAGGTTAGTTACATATGTATACATGTGCCATGTTGGTGTGCTGCACTCATTAACTCGTCATTTAACATTAGGTATATCTCCTAATGCTATCCCTCCCCCCTCCCCCCACCCCACAAGAGTCCCTAGAGTGTGATGTTCCCCTTCCTGTGTCCATGTGTTCTCATTATTCAATTCCCACCTATGAGTGAGAACATGCAGTGTTTGGTTTTTTGTCCTTGCGATAGTTTACTGAGAATGATGATTTCCAGTTTCATCCATGTCCCTACAAAGGACATGAACTCATCATTTTTTATGACTGCATTGTATTCCATGGTGTAAATGTGCCACATTTTCTTAATCCAGTCTATCATTGTTGGACATTTGGGTTGGTTTCAAGTCTTTGCTATTGTGAATAGTGCCGCAATAAACATACGTGTGCATGTGTCTTTATAGCAGCATGATTTATAGTCCTTTGGGTATATACCCAGTAATGGGGTGGCTGGGTCAAATGGTATTTCTAGTTCTAGATCCCTGAGGAATCGCCACACTGACTTCCACAATGGTTGAACTAGTTTACAGTCCCACAGTGTAAAATTGTTCCTATTTCTCCACATCCTCTCTAGCACCTGTTGTTTCCTGACTTTTGAATGATCACCATTTTAACTGGTGTGAGATGGTATCACATTGTGGTTTTGATTTGCTTTTCTCTGATGGCCGGTGATGGTGAGCAGTTTTTCATGTGTTGTTTTGATTCTAATAACTAGAAAGCATTTGCTTTTTAGTTATTTGCAGTCTTGCTCAATTCCTTATAAAGGCACAGTGACAACTCTGGCAGTTTAAGCATAAAAACCCAATGAAAAATTCCCATAAAGCAATATCTACAGATAAAACAGTTTATCACTTTACATAAAGGAGCCAAGCTCAAGCCTAGAATGAATTTTGAAGGCATTTCCCTTAAAGCTAGTGAATAAAAAAGATTATAGATAAAAACACAAATATAATTCAACAGCATGCATCTTTGCCAGTTTTCTTTTCCTTTTTCTTTTTTTTTCATAAGAGTGTTATCCTCACTTTATTTGCTTGTGCTGTAGCTTTTGGAAATGTCCAAGACTTATCTAGTTTAGAATACATATATAGCCTTCATAGAACATAGCGTGGTTTTATATTCATCCTTGTGGACTATTAGCTTTAATGGCTGCGATAATTCCTTCTCTCAGTGATTCCCACCCTATGAACATATCCATGCCTCCATAACTCTAAGGTAGGGTCTTTATATCAATAGTAATATGATTAATGAAAAAGACACTTTTTAGTTTACATTAAAAATACCAATTCTAGGTGTTTGGTTCACTTGCTTCTCACTGCTGGAATTGGCTGGAGGAAAAACTGTAGCCAATATGATATTTGTTTCAAATTTTCTGTTCCATGGTTAGAATTCTTGGCTATAAACCCTCTTCTTTATCCTCATCATAAAGTTGAGTGTACCCTTGTCCAATCTACTGCTTCTAGTAAAGATGGACAAGGGCAAATGCTCAGGTTAGGAGTCCTAAGCAGACATTTCAAGCAGACTGAAGATGAGGCTCACTGATACCTAGCCGATATCTTTTATTTCAATATGCACATCCCGTGTAATTACAGTAGTAGACAGACACTGCACAGCTCACAGACAAAGATGGATAACTTGATAACATTTTATAATTTTCTTGATAAGTGTTGGCAAAGGCAATATATTAGTCACACTGTCTAGGGCATCAAATGTCATAGTGATAATGGGGTTTGGGACCACGTGTTTCCTTTGGTGACAGGCTGCCACATGCTGTTCTGTGGTTTTAGACTGGTACTAGAAAAAGATAAGAGAAGGTTGCAAGGAGGTGAGAAGTATATGAATCAATTCCTGGGGTGTCCTGAGGCTCAGAAGAAAATGACTTGAAACAATTCTAGCTCTCACTTTTTTCCTTCAATCAATTCCCAGCTGGGCTGTGACAGAAGGCAGATGATAAGAAAAGAAGAGAGTGAAAAAGTACAGCCACTTTATAAGAGAAGAAGTTTCCCAGAGGGAAGGAGAGTGAAAAAGAAAAAAAAGTAACGAGCTTTCTTGGAGGAGGCAGATTACAGTGAAATCTGTAGACGTTTTAAACATCAGCAGTAACAGCTGTTAAGCAGTCAGAACAGGTGTAACGGGGTTTGGTGGAAAAGGGCTTCGCTATAGCCATACAGCCTTGCTATATTACCCAGTACTCATGTCTTTGTCAATGAAAAACTTCCTTGGTGAGTTGACAATGAAGACACAAGAAACCTTCCCAGTTGCCATGTGACCTTTATGTAGTTATTACAAAGGTATTATGATTTCCACATAAAGCAAATGATCTTGTTTGCTTTATGTGGAAATCGTAATAACTTTGTAATAACTTTGTAATAACAAGCAAGAAACCACAAGAGTCTCCTCAATCTTAACTTAGCTGAAAAAAGACTGTTTTAGTCATGAAGTCTTTGCCCATGCCTATGTCCTGAATGGTATTGCCTACGTAGGAAAACATAATTTAATACTTCATTCAGTTCTGCATTTTATGTGTATTTTTTTGTAACATCATCCAAGCTTGATTTTACATGTTTTAAGGGGAAAGGTTGGGTGCTTCTGTGTCCCCCATAAACTGAAGTTTTGCTGGACACATACTTGTAACTGCTAAGTCACATATATACTTGTGATTTATAAGGCTGAAGTATAGAAATTCAGGAAATTGTATTACAAATGAATTACTTGCATTTGTCATTCTCTGTGGGTTATTAAAGCAAAATGAGATTGAGGGAGTATAGAATGTTTTTTTCACAGAACTTTGGAATAAAGGTGTTAATTGTTGAAGCTTAAAAAGTATTAATAATGACAACAATAATAGTACCTAATTAAAGGAAGATTAGGTTAGTTCATACTTAAAGGGTTAAGGCAATATTTGGAGAATATTCTTACAATGGGCTGTAAGAGAAACAGAAATATTTTTACTTATTTTGGGAAATGTTATTTTCTAGTATGTTCCTGTGCAAATCAGGATTTTAGAAACATAGACCTGAAATTTCTAGGTTTCTTGAGGAAGCAACTGATTGATGGCTATTTTCTCCATTCTTGGCAGCCCAAATGAATGACTCCAATTTATGGAAGATAGGAAAGGGCATAAGGAGAAACATAGGAGACATATTCAAATATTCATGTCCATACTCTCACACATGTTTAGGAATACTTCAGGTTTGTTTTTGATGATGGCAGAATCTAGGTAACTTTCAAGATTTGAGAAAGTAGCTAAATAATTGCTTATTTTGTTTCTATTCAAATATTGAATGTACATCTTCAAGGTACTCAAGGTCTTTGCTAGAGATGCTGGAAGAACTTTGCGTCTAATCCAGAGAATTGTAGAGTAACAACTTGATTCTCTCTTTGATGCCATCTCATCGAAAGACTTGTGAAATGTACAATCCTAGACACAAGCTATATGCTCAGTAACTATTTTTTTTAGGTTTTATAAGCTTTGGATAAGTCACCTATGTACAATGAATTATTTTGCACTATGAACATAGATTTATTTTTGTGGACTACAAGGGTTTCAGCATTCTATCCTGATATTTGCCCCCACACTCTTTATTAATATTAAAATAGAGAACATTTTTTATATTAACAGCCCCTGTCCCAAAAGAACTACACACATATGGATTAAAGTTGAGGCAGAGCCTAGTACTCTGTCTATACCTCATGTTTAGTTCTTATTTAGATATGCTTAATTTTTTTAAAAAACATTTTTAATTTTTGTGGGTATACAGTAGGTATATATATTTATGAGGTACAGGAGACATTTTGATACAGGCATACAATGCGTAATAATCACATCAGGGTAAATGAGGTATCCATCATTTCAAACATGTATCCTTTATGTTACAAACAAAACAATTATACTCTTTTAGTTATTATGATATGTATAATTAAATTGACTATAGTCACCCCTTGTGCTATCAAATACAAGGTCTTATTAATTCTATCTATTTTTTGTACCCACTAATCATACCTATCTCCCCCCACCCCCACTACCCTTCCCACCTTCTGATAAACCATCCTTCTACTCTCTATGCCTATGAGTTCAATTGTTTTGATTTTTGATCCTACAAATAAGTGAGAACATGTGATGTTTGTCTTTCTGTGCCTAGGTTATTTCACTTAACATAATGGTCTCCATTTCCATTCATGTTGTTGCAAATAACAGGATCTCATTTGTTTTTATGGCCAAATAATACTCCATTGTGTATATATGTAGCACATTTTCTTTATCCATTCATCTATTGATGGACACTTAAGTTGCTTCCAAATCTTGGCTATTGTGGACAGTGCTGCAACAAACGTAGGTGTGCAGATATCACTTCAACATGCTGATAGAAATACTTAATTTTATTTCAGTGTTTGTACTTATGGTCCAATGATTGTTTCCTTAACAGTTGTGGTGACTTTGAAAGAATGTATTATGTTTCTAAGGAGAAAAAGAGAGACATTTAGGAGCTTTCTACATGAAATTTTATCAGTCTAAGGAATCACACATGGAGGTAATTGAGAAATTAAAATTATGTTTTGAAAGCAAAATTTTTCCTCTTTGAAAAATTAGCTTATCAGGCAATTCCTTCAAGCATTAAGAAAAAGATCTGCCAATAGAAACAGCCTCCCCGTGGATTTTCAAAATTTTAGATTTTACCTATGTTTTGCATCTTTATTAATCTCCAGACGATTTACTAGTGGGCTGGGCTTAAGATCTGCAAATATGATAAAGCGATAAAGCTAACAAAATGCAAATACCAAAACACCCAGTGATGACAGATAAATGTCAGGTTTGTGCTGAGATATAAGATATAAGAAGAAAGAACTTAAAAGACCATTATTGAGGGAAAATGCCATTTTTTCCAGTAGTAAGAGATCAATTTTGCACATTAGTTTTTTTCTGTATAATTGTACATTGAAATATGTTTGTGAATAACATAATATTTAAATGCATTTCTTAGTTCAAAACATAGTTTTTTCTTAACCTTGAAACCTTCTCTCTCCTTTAGAAACCCCTTTTGCTTATTCCATTACAGAAAAAATCTTCTCATGTTTTCTTTCAGACAAGATTAAATAACCCTATAAAAAGTGTTCTGATTAATGCCTATAAGAGAACAAAGCATAGACAAGTTTAACATCTAAATGAAATGACAGGACAAACTGACCGATAAAAGCATATACCTTAAGGTATTTTGGGGAAGAAATAAATTGCACTACTCATAGTGTTGCAGTACCACATACTGTGTAGAGCCGCTGGGGTCAGGAAGATGCAGTGGTCATAATGAAAAAGCATTTATTATGCATGAGTCAATTCCCTTACATTGTGTCTGGAAGATGTTGTGCTTGGCAGTAGAGGACTAGTGGGAATAAGAGTTTTAAGTTCTTTTTCGGTAACCTGAAAATAAATCAGAAGTCAAACATGATCATCTCACATAGCAGAGCTCCTTTTATTCTTATACACATCAACTGGGGCCTGCTTCTCTTTAATTAATGGACACATACATCAAACCAACTGACAGAAAAGCTTTCCCAGAATCATTTTTGACTCCTTTTATAGCTTGATTTATTCTGGGGTCACTCGCTGCCTGTTTTCGGCAATGGTAAAAAAAGTGTTTTGAGTTCACTAGGACTTAGGGATAATTGGTTATGATGGTTTATTCTAAATTGAAGTTTTTTTTTTTTGCAGCCAAGGATGGAGTTTTGAGTTTTCAAACTGAATTACTTCCCTGTGTAAAATACAGTGGATTTTCCTGGCTTTGAGTGTTTGCCCAAATCCTATGCGGGACGTTCTCCTATCCACCTCTGCCAGTAATATCCCTCATGGAAGCCTAAATGCTACATCCTCTGGACCCTTTCCTTACCTACTCTCAGCTCCACTCAGAGGGAGCTGTCCCCTTAAAAATTCTGTAATTTATTTTATATTATTTTCTTACAACACTTTGAACATGCTGCCTTGCATTATGGTTATTTGTGCACATATCTGTTTCTGCATAGCATTTCTAAACAATTAACTTATCATTATATCGTCTCTTCCTGTTTCCTTTCTCCCTCTCTCCCATTCCAGCAGCAATGTTGTCAGGTGAGCCTTGCCTCCAGGGAAGGATGTGACAGAAGGGAAAGCACATACCAAGAGATCCTCCTGAGTTTCGTTTCCCAAATATTCAGCCTGGCTGGGTGTGGTGACTCATGCCTGTAATCCCAGCACTTTGGGAGGCCGAGGTGGGCGGATCACAAGGTCAGGAGTTCGAGACCAGCCTGGCCAACATGGTGAAACCCTGTATCTACTAAAAATACGAAAATTAGCTGTGCGTGGTGGTGGGTGCCTGTAATCCCAGCTACTCGGGAGGCTGAGGCAGGAGAATCGCTTGAACCCAGGAGGTGGAGGTTGCAGTGAGCCCAGATCGTGCCCCTGCACTCCAGCCTGGGTGACAGAGCGAGACTCCATTAAAAAAAAAAAAAAAAAAAAAGGGCCCTCAGGGGAATGCAGTGAATTTCAGAGTTCAAACAAAATATTAGTGGTTTGAAGATAGAAAGATAGATTCTCCCTTTCTATCACTAGAAATTTCTCTTCAGGGTTTGGGGAGGAAAGAACAACAGAGGGGAAATGATTAGAGAATAGAAGTTGCTGTTTCTGGGATTGGGACCCTGGAGGCAGTGAGGGAAGAACTTGCAAAGCGGTCTAGGCTGCTACACTCATCAGACTTCAGAGTGTGGAGTGTCCCAGAAGGAAAAAAAAAAATCAGTCTCTTGTTCTCAAGTAGTAGTACATAGTTGCCAGTAGATAATAAGAACTGTAAGTTATTTTCTGTAAACTGGTGTACACCCACTGTGATATTAGAAGTAATAGCTCCCTGGAATACTATGAATAATGTCACAAGGTGTACACCCACTGTGATATTAGCAGTAATATCTCCATAGGATATTACAAATGATATCACAGTGGGTATACACCATGTGTGTACACCCACTGTGATATTAGAAAAAATATCTTTTTAGGATATTACAAATAATATCACAGGGTGTACACCCAGTATGATATTATGAGTAGTATCTCCCTAGGATATTATGAATGATGTCACAGAATGAACACATATGTTTTACACCCACTATGATGTTAGGAGTAATATTTTCCTAGGATATTATAAAGAGTATCACAGGATGTACACTCACTGTGATATTAGGAGTAATATCTACATAGGATATTACAAATAATATCACAGGGGTACACTCACTGTGATATTAGGAGTAATATCTTCTTAAAATATTACAAATAATATCACAGGGTGTACACCCACTGGGATATGAGGAGTAATATCTTTCTAGGATATTACCAACAGTATCACAGGGTGTACATCCACTGTGATATTATTTGTAATGTCTTAGGGAGCTATTACTTCTAATAACACAGAGTGTACACCCACTGTGATTTTAGGAGACATATCTCCCTAGGATATTACAAATAATATCAGAGAGTACACACACTGTGATATTAAGATCAACATCTCCCTAAGATATTACAAATCATATTCCAGGGTGTACAACCACTGTGATATTAGAAGTACTACCTCCCTAGAATATTACAAATAATGTCACAGGTTGTATATCCACTGTGTTATTAGAAGCAATATTTCCCTAGTCTATTATGAATAATATCACAGGGCATACACACATGATGTATACCCGCTGTTAAATTAGGAGTAATATATCCTTAGGATATTATGATTAATATCACATGGTGTACACCCACTGTGATGTTAGAAGTAATAACTCCCTAGAATATTATGAATAATGTCACAGGGTGTACACTCACTGTGATATTAGGATTAATATCTCCATAGGATATTATGAAAAATATCACAGAATGAACACTTAAGTTGTATTCCCAGTATGATATTGGGAGTAATATTTTCCTAGGAGACTACAAATAATATCACAGGGTGTACACCCACTGTGTTATTAGAAGTAATATCTCCCTAGGATATTACAAATAATATAACAGTTGTACACCAACTGTGATATTAGGAGTAATATCTGCCTAGGATATTACAAATAATATCACAGTGTGTACACCCACTGTGACATTAGGAATAACATCTCTCTAAGATATTACTCCTAATATCACACAGTGTACACACATGGTGTAAACCCACTGTGATATTAGGGGTAATATCTTCCTATAATATCATGAATAATATCACAGGGTGTACTCTTACTGTGATATTAGAAGAAATATCTCCCTAGGATATTATGAATAATACCATGGTGTGTACACCCACTGTGATATTAGGAGTAATATCTCCCTATATGAATAATATCACAGGGTGTACACCCACTGTGATATTAAGAGTATTATCTCTCTAAGTTATTACTAATAATATTACAGGGTGTACAGGTTGCACACCCACTGTGATATTAAGATTAATATCTCCCTGGGATATTACTAATAATATCACAAGTTATACAGCCACTGTAATATTAGGAGTAATATGTTCTTTGGATATTATGAATAATATCAATGGTTGTACACCCACTGTGATATTAGGAATAATGTCTCCCTAAAATATCAAGAATAATATCACAAAGTATACACACAGGGTTTACATACACCGTGATATTAGGAGTAATGTCTCTTTAGGATATTATGAATAATATCAAGGGTGTACTGCTACTGTGATACTAGGAGTAATATCTCCCTAGAATATTACTAATAATATAACAGTGTATACACACATGGACATAGTGTACTCCTACTGTGATACTAGGAGTAATATCTCCCTAGGATATTATAAATAATATTACAGGGTGTACACACATGGTGTACCCCCACTGTGATATTAGGAGTAATATCTCTTTAGCATATTACGAAGAATATCACAGAATGTACCCCCCACTCTGATACTAGGTATAATATCATAGGGTTTACACACATGGTATACTACCCACTATGATATTAGGAGTAATATCTTCCTAGGATATTATGTATAATATCACAGGGTGTATACTCATGGTGTACCTTCACTGTGATATTAAAAGTAATATCTCCCTAGGATATTACAAAGAGTATCACAGAGTGTATCCCCACTGTGATAGTAGGAGTAATATCTGCTGAGAATACCATGAATAATATCACAGGTTATACACACATGGTGTACCTCTATTGTGATACTAGGAATAATATCTTCCTAGGATATTACAAATAATATCACAGGGTGTACTTACATTGTGTAACCCCCCTGTGATACCAGGGTTAATATCTCCCTAGGATATTATGAATAATTTCACATGGTGTACACAGATTGTATATTCTCACTGTGATACAAGGAGTAATATCTCCCTAGGATATTATGAATAATATCACAGGGTGAACATGCATGATGTACCCCTACTGTGATACTAGGAGTAATATCTCCCTAAGATATTATGAATAATATCAGAGTGTGTAGACACATGGTGCACCCGCACTGTGATATTAGAAGTACTGTTTCCCTAGGATATTATGAATAATATCATAGGGCATACACACATGGTGTCCCCCCACTGTGATACTAGGAGTGATATCTTTTTAAGATATTGTAAATAATGTCAAAGGGTTTACACACGTGCTGCACACTCACTGTGATAGTAGGAGTAATATCTCCCTAGGATATTACCAATAATATCGCAAGGTGTACACACATGGTGTATACCCACTGTGATAATAGAAGTAATATTTTTCAGGATATTACAAATAATATCACAGGGTCTAAAAATATGGTGTACACCAACTGTGCTAGTAGGAGTAATATCTTTCTAGGTTATTACGAATCATATCACAGGGTATACACACATGGTGTACACCCACTGTGAAACTAGGAGTAGTATCTCCCTACGATATAACAAATAGTGTAACAGGGTATACCCATATGGTGTAAACCCACTGTGATATTAGGAGTAATATCTCCCTAGGATATTACGATACTGGGAGTAATATCATCTTCTCTTCCCCTGGATATTATGAACTATATCACACGGGATTGTACAACCCCTGCAAAATTTGGAGTATTATCATTCCCCCTTCCCCTGGATATTATGAAACATATTACAGGGGTGTGTACATTTTCGGCAATACTGGGAGTAATATAATCTCCTCTTCTTTTGGATATTATGAAAAATATCACATTGGTGTGTACACCTGCTGCAATATTGGGAGTAACATCATCCCCTCCTGCCTGGATAATATGAACAGTACAATAGAGGAATGTCCACCCTCTGTGATATTGCGAGTAATATCGTCTTCTTTCTCCCTGGATATTACATATAATATCACGGTGGGGTGTACACACCCTGCGATATTGGGAGTCATATCATCCCCTCCCCTTCTGGTATTACAAACCATATCACAGGGGATGTATTCCCACTGCGATGTTGAGAGTAATATCAACTCCTCTTCTCCTGGATATTATGAAAAATGTAACAGATGGTGTACACCTTTTGTGATATTGGAGGTAATATTCCCTCCCCCTGTGTATATTATGAACAATATTACAGGAAGATGTACACCCCCTACGATATTAAGAGTAATATCATCTCCTCCTATTATAGATTTTATGAAAAATATCACAGGGGAGTATACACCCCTGCGATACTGGGAGAAATATCATCCCCTATTTTTCTGATATTATGAACAATATCACAGGGGGTGTATACCCCCTGTGATATTGGGAGTAATATCATCCCTCCCACCCTGGATATTATGAAATATTACAGAGGGTGTACACCTGCGATATTGGGCATAATATCATCATCTCCTTCCCTGGATATTACAAACAACATCACAGGGGTGTGTACAACCCCTGCGATATTGGGAGTAATATCATCCTCTTGGCGCCTAGATATTATGAACAATATCACAGAAGGGTGTACACACCCTGCGATATTGTGAGTAATATGATCATCTCTCTCACTGGTTATTATGAACAGTATCACAGAGGGGTGTACAATCCCTGTGATATTGGGAATAATATCCTCTTCTCTCTTCCAAAATATTACCAACAGTGTCACAGTGGGATGTACACCCTCTGGGATATTGGGAGTAATATCATGCTCTCCTTTCTGTATATTATGAACAATATCAGGGAGAGTGTGCACACAGGGTGTTTATGATATTGGAAGCAATATCATCCTTTCCTCCCTTGGATATTATGATCAACGTCAGAGGGGGTTGGACACTCCCTGCGATATTGAGAGTAATAGCATCCTATCCACCCCTGGATATTATGAACAATATCACAGGGGGTTGGAGGCCCCCTGTGATATTGGGAGTAATGTAATCATCTTTCCCCCTGTCTATTACAAACAATATAACAGGAGGGTGGACACCCTCTGCCATATTGGAATTATATTATCCTCTCCCACCTGGATATTACAAACAATATCACAGGAAAGTGGAAAACCTTTTCGATATTGGGAGTAATATCATCCTCTTTATTCCTGAATATTACCAACAATATCACAGGGAAGTGGACACCCCTGCGATATTGGGGCTAATATCACCCTCCCTTCCCCTTTATGTTATGAACAATATCACAGTGGGGTGTCCATCTCCCGCGATGTTGGGAGTAGTATCATCCTCTCCTCCCCTGGATTTTACAAACAGTATCACAGGGCGGTATACATCCCCTGCAATAATGGGAGTAATGTGATCCTCTCCCCTTACTGGATATTACGAACAATATCACAGGGAGGTGTACACCCCCTGCGATATTGAGAGTAATATCATCCTCTCCCCCACTGGATATAATGAACAATATCACAGAGGGGTGTACACCCCCTGGGATATTCGGAGTAATATAATCCTTTCCCCCCTTGGATATTACCAACAATATTACAGGGGAAGGTATACCCTTTGCGATTTTTGGAGTAATACTATCCTCTCCTGCCCTGGATGTTATAAACAATAACAAACAGGGGTGTATTTCCCCCCGTGATATTGGGAGTAATGTCATCCTTTCCCTTCTGGATATTACAAGCAATATCAAAGGGAGTGTACACACATGCTGTTTATGATATTGGGAGTAATATAGTCCTCTCCTCCCCTGGATATTACAATCAACATCACAGGGCGGTGGAACCCCCCTGTGATATTGGGAGTAATATCACCCTCTCAAACCCTGGATATTAGGAACAATATCACAGGGAGGTGGACACCCCCTGCGATACTGGGAGTAATATCACCCACTCCCCACCCTGGATATTACGAACAATATCAGAGGGGGCTGGACAAACCCTGCGATATTGCGAGCAATATCATCCTCTCTTCCCTGGATATTACAAAGAATATCACAGAGTGATGGACAACCCTCACAATTATTGGAGTTATATTATTCTCTCCCTGCCTGGATATTACAAACAATATCACAGGGAAGTGGACAACCCCTGCGATATTTGGTGTAATATTATCCTCTTCCTTCCTGGATATTGCCAACAATATCATAGGGAAGTGGACACCCCTTGCGACATTGGGAGGAATATCATTCTCTTTGCCCCTGGACATTATGAAAAATATCACAGCGGGGTGTACACGCTCTGCGATATTGGGAGTAATATTATGCCCTCCTTCCCTGGATATTACGAGCAATATCACAGGAAGATGTACACTCCTTGCGATATTGGGACTAATGTCATACTCTCTTTCTCTTGATATCATGAACAATATCATAGGGGGTGTACACCTCCTTCAATATTGGGAATATCCTCTTCTCCCTGGATATTATGAAAAATATCACAGAGAATGTACACACAGCGTGTTTACAATATTTGGAGAAATGTCCTTCTCTTCCACCCTGGATATTGAGAACAATCTCAGGAGGGTGCACATACCCTGTGATATTGGAAGTAATGTCATCCTCTTCCCCCTGGATATTCCAAAAAATATCAGAGAAGGGTGTACACCCGCTGCGATATTGGCAGTAATGTCATCCTCCCCACCTGGATATTTCGAACAAAATCAAAGGGGTGTGCACGCCCCCTTTAACAGCACTGTCATTTTCTTCCCCCCTGGATATTTCGAACAATATCAGAAGAGGTGCACACCCACTATGATATTGTCAGTAATGTCATCCTCTCCCTGTCTGATTACTGCAAACAATATCACAGGGGGGTGTATATTCCTTACGACATTAACAGTAATGTCATCGGCTTCCCCACTGGATATAGCGAAAAATATCACAGGGGAGTGTACACCCCCTGCAATTTTTGGCAGTAATGTCATCCTCTCCCGCCCTGGATATTACTAACAATATCACCAGGAATTGTACAATCCCAGCGATATTGGCAGTAATGTCATCCTTTCCCTTTCTGGATATTACGAACAATATCACAAGAAGGTGTACACCCCTTGAGATATTGAAATTAATGCAATTCTCTTCCCCTCAGGAAAATACGAACAATGTCAGAGGGGGGTGTACACCCCCTGCAATATTGGCAGTAATGTCATCCTCTTCCCTTCTGAATATTACAAACAATATCACAGGGGGTGAACACCCTGTGCGATACTGAGAGTAATATCATCCTCTCCCCACGTAGATATTATGAATAACATCATGGGGAGGTTTACACCCCCTGCGATATTGAAAGTAATATTATTTTTTTCCTTTGTGGATATTGCGAACAATATTACAGGGAGGTGTACCCCTCTGAGATTTGTGAGTAAAAGCATCCTCTCTCCCCCCGGATATTATGAACAATATCACAGGGGGGTATACACTCCCTGCGATGTTGAGAGTAATATCATCCTCTCCACCCCTGGAAACTACGAACAATAGTACAGGAAAGTTTCCACCCCCCGGGATATTGGGAGTAATATGATCCTCTCCTCCACTGAATATGCTGAACAATATCACAGAAAAGTGTACACCCCCTGCAATATTGAAAGTAATATCATCCTCTCCCCTCCTGGATATTCCTAATAATATCACAGGGGGGTTTACACCACTGCAATATTGGGAGTAATATAATCCTTTCTTTGCCTGGATATTCCAAATAATATCACAGAGGTTTGTACACTCCCTGTGATATTGCGTGTAATATCATTCTCTCCCGCCCTGGATATTACAAACAATATCACAGCTGGGTGTACACCTTCTGCGATATTGGGAGTAATATCATCCTCTTCCTCTCTGGATATTCCACACAATATCACAGAGGGGTGTACACCTTCTGCAATATTTAAAGTAATATCATCTTCTCCCCCCCCGAATATTCAGAAGAATATCACAAAAGTTTTACAACCCCTGTGATATTGGAAGTAATATCATCCTCTCCCTTCCTGCATATTCCGAACAATATCATAGGGAGGTGTACACCCACTTTGATATTGGAAGCGTTATCATCCTCTCCCTCCCGAATATGCCAGACAAAATCACTGGGGGGTGTATACCCCCCGGGATATAGGGAGTATCATCCTCTTCTCCCCTGAATATTCTGAACAATAACACAAAGGGGGTGTACACCTCCTGTGATATTGGGAGCAATATCATCCTTTCCCCCCCCCTCGATATTTCAAACAATATGACAGGGGAGTGTATAACCCTGCGATATTGGAAGTAATATTATCCTCTCCCCCCGCTGAATATTTTGAACAACATCACAGGGTGGTGTA